>NC_000003.12:118251028-118554058 GCF_000001405.40 Homo sapiens
GAATTTGAGCAAGGCAGTTTGGAAGCTAGGGATATGTTTCTCTTGCCCACTCTTCCCCTAAAAGAAAAATAGTAGCCTCCATTTTATGAAAAGGAAGTGTACAAAATGCTCGAAGATTCATAATGCAGATTTGAATAATGGGCCCTCAAGTGTGTGGCAGTGAGTGTGTGTGCACATTTAGGGTTGAGATGACATTAGACTGCTACAGATAGCCTGAAGCATAAAACTTACCTCCTTAAAAATCCCAAAGGCAGAAGTGATAGTTTTCTTGCATGGGCTCCCATGCAAGGGTTCCCTTAAGCAGAAGTTACAAGGTAGGAAGGGAAATGCTTGGATAGGGTTTCCTCAACTCCAGCCAGACAATTTACTCCTGTCCCTCACACCATGGATTCTGTGCTCATAATGCTTGTACTCACTGTAACCCAGTCCCATCTGTGGCTCCAAAGAGCATCTCAAGATGGTGAAGCCAGCTGGTTTGCCAGCTGCTGCATCCCCTGAAAAATGGTGGGAGATGTCCTCACTACCCCGAACCACTACTTCTGGGAGTTAGCATATGCATGAGAGAATATCCCAAATGCCACTCTTGTCTCTTGCCAAGGCTGTCCACAATTCTGCACTTCCAGGTTGTGTTCTTTTTAGAGAGCAAAGGGAATGTCAACACAATTGAAGGTGAAGTGACTCTGACTTGTGAAATTAAAGTGCCCAGCTTCATGTCAGGTTCACATGGGCAGAAGCATGCATTGAATGCAGAGCTTAGAAGCACAATACAACTGTGCTGTGCGTCCTTTTGATTGGTTATTTTTTAGGTTAATTCACACATGGTTCTATAGTCCTAACCCTTAGTTCACACTGTTGAAAGAATTGTTGAGGCCTCCAGCTGCCTGACCTTGAGCACATCACTTTACTTTTTAGAACTGCTGTTTCCTTCACTGTAAAATAAAGAGGAAAGGGCTGATTAGCTGATCTCTAATGACCCTCCACCACTCTCTTAGTAAGGGAACATATTTTGTACTGGTAGCAGAAATCCAACTACAGTGGCTGAACCAGCTTCAGAGGCTTATTTTTCTCACATAAAAATAAGTATGGGAGGTAGAGAGTGAAGGCTGCATAGAGGCTCTCCAATGCCAGCAGGGAGCAATACTCTAATATTTCTGCTCAGTGAGTAACTTTTGATTTTATGCTTTTCACTTGTGATTTCAAGAAGGCTGTTCTGTCTCCAGCAATTGCATCTAGATTGGAAGAAGGGCAAGACAGTGTCCAGAAAAGCATACTCCTTTGTTAAAAGCTTACCTAAAAGACCCATCCAAAAACTTATACCTAATCAGCCATAACTGTGTCACAGAGCCATCTATAGCTGTAATAGAGGTTAAAAATATGCATTTTTCACTGGGTACATTGTCACCCACGTAAGCATTGCATTCTCTTAATAAACGAGAAGGGGAGGATAGATATTGGGTACTCAACCTGAACAGAATATACTTTAATCTAAAATTCTATATTTTTGTCATTTTATGTTTTTGTGGAATGCATCTTTTAAATAACTGAGAACAAACACACATCATTTTTTAAAATTTTTGTGAAGAATCTCCATAACTTAGAGACTAGTTAGTCTGAACTAGGAAGAATGGTTTTAGAATGATGACTTCTTGACCCTCCTAAAGTTTGTTCCAGAATGTACCACACCGATACAGTTTGTATCTTTTCTGACCAGTTTTTTCTTACCCTTTCTCTCCTTTCTATACTTATTCACTCAACCTCTCTCTTTTCTTATCTCATCTTAGCAGAGTTATACTTTCCAGATAAAACTCTTTGTGGGAATTGTTTAATAACTTGCAAAACATGTAAGTATTTTAAATAACTTGTATCTAATAACATTCACATCCTCTAATTGGTTCTGTGTCCAGTTCAAGACATGCTCCTCAACCTATAACTACCTTTCCAAGAATAGCCTACTTAAATTCCTAATAGGTATAATTTCACTGTCTAATAATCAATTTTTTTCTCTATTCCATCATTTCAGGTAGATTTCCTTTCTGTGTTCTTTATTGCTGTGGAAGATTAAGTCATTAGATGCCACTCTGAATGCCCTTCCTGATTTAGAACTACTTACACAAGTCCTTTGCCATGTGACTTTGTGGTACTATCTTCTAGAATGGAAAGAGTTTATTTCCCTTCCCCAGTAATATGGAGTTTAGCCATGGTTTACGTAGGTGAAAGTGGAGGTGTTCCAGTTCTACATTAAGTCCTGAAAAAACCTCTCACATTTCCTTTTGCTCTCTTGAACTCCGGTCATTCACCAAGAAAATATTCCTAGATAGCCATTCAACCAAAGCAACACATGCAGATGGTCTGAAATTAACCTAAAATTAAGCCTGAAACCAAACTTAGCTAACTTCCTCCCTAAAACAGAGCTACTGCGGCTGACCCACAGAACTTCAAGCAATATAGAGCTTGTTTTAGGAAGCTACTGATATTTTGGGATGGTTTGTTACACTGCATTATTGTGGCATACCTGATTAATTCAATTGGCCTAGGGGAAATTTGCCTACTTCAGATGGCTAAAATTAGTGGTAATAAACGTTGGTGGGTGCTGGGTGGCAAATGGCCTCTAAACCCTGTGGTAATCCCAAAGTGATTCTCAAGATCTCTGTTAATTCCAGGGTTTATTCAAGAAATAACCACAATAAGGCAAGCAGGGAAAAGAGAGATCTTCACAACCTCAATCAGCCATAGAAAGGGAACCATTGCCCAGATTCTATTCACCTAACTGGTTTCATTTAAGTAATTTTCCAGATACTGTATCTGTCTTCCTGTTAGACGGGACTCCTATGCCTATTCAGCCAGCAAATTTAAGTATACAAATGTGGTATTTTTTTTTTTTTTTTCAGAAACTGTGAGAGGCCTTCAAAAAAGGTGACACAGAGATTTGAGGCATCGTAATAATGAATAATTCATCACACTACTTAGCTTCCCGAAAAGGGCAGTTGAGATCTCAGAAGGAAATTGGAGTTGCTCTCTTCTCCATAATTGACAAGTGCACCTTGGAAAAAACATAAGCATCTCTTTTATCAGCTTGGGTCCTGGATATACTTCTGGGCACACAACAGAAACATGACTTCAGCCCTGGCTGCTTGCCATTTATGGCAGAAGCCCCCTGGGAAGAGATGCATCTTCTATTCCAGTGTTGACCATCACGGCCCAAACAATAAGAGTCTGGAGAGAGTGGGGGAAGAGAAGTTTCCTCAGGAAGCCCAAACTGGCTGCCTGTGTTGGTGGCACGAGGGAGTCCTGAGAGACACCCTCCACTCCTTGTCGCTACACTTTCCATCTCTGAAATAAAATAAACTAGACAGCAGCTACATCTGGCCACCCTCAGAGGGGTAGCTGCTGCAGCTGGTTCATTTCCCACTTGGCTTTGCAGTTACATGGTGCCTACTCTGACGCCTAGTCAGCTGGCAGCCTTTCCTGAAAACTTTTTAGAATTCTATATTCTGTGTTCTAAACACTTGCTGTTATTTATAATCATCCAGTGACCAGTGGAAACTATAGCCGGGAAGTGTATGTGGTCCAGTAAACCCTCTGCAAGCATGAGCTCCCCTCAAATGAAATGTGTCTTGCCTGGGTAACAGGATGACTTGCTGCAAAGTACAGGTAGCTGGAGAGCCTATTGAGAAATTGCCTAATACTGTTTCTTAACATGGTAGGAAAAAAGCAAACATGGAGGAATCTTTTTTTTTCCCCACTAGTGGGAAGTCAACTTCTTTTGCTCTTAAGGTCGGACTGTTCTTCCATAAGAGCTAGGGGAACAATAATCAGCATCGTGTTTCTAGACAAAAGAGAAGTTGCTAAGTAAATGAGTCACTCAGATGATAAATAAGCTTTTGTCCATTGATGGTCTATGGGTCTACGGCCAGAGTTCACAAACTCAAAGCCTTTCAAGGAAGAGGCAGACATGGAAATGACCAATGCTGACCTGGTAAGGTAAATTATAGCTGACCCCTGGACTTTTGGGATACGGTAGGAAATGTTAGAGACTGGCAAGCTAGTGGGTTCATGTCCTGCCTAAAGGGGGTTGATGCCACTCAATTCCAGCTGCCTGTTGCCATAGCATTTGGGAATGCATTTGTTCTTCTTTTCTGGAACAAAAAGCAGCAGCACCCATGAACACAGAAAAAGCAGAGCTTCCTTCCTCTTCAGTATGGGGACTAAATAAGCCTCCCAGGATTCTTCTGTGATAGAAGCACTGCATAGAAAATCTCCACAAAATGATTAATGTTGGATTGTCCTAGGAGTTTGTGTTATTTGAGGACTGAACCAGAAGCTAATAATTACATCCAATAAATTATAGTGGCTTGTACTAGAATAGTGGAGAATATTATTACTAGTGAATTTTCAACAATAAAAATTGCTGTTCTAAGACATATGAATGGTTTGAGTTTTGAGTTGCTTCTACTGAAGATAATTACATAAATAAGAAATCAGGGAATGGGTAGAAAAAAGAATATAAAATGGGTGGCAGAAAAAAATACATTTTGCAATGATCTTCTAGGTAAAGTAAGGGAAGATAGGAGAGGGCAAATCTCTGTGTCCTATTTGTGTTCTGATGGTTGGTACATTTGTGTAAAAGGTATTTGTGTAAAAGGATAGGTGCTTAGTGAGAAGAGGAGACAGGGCTTACTAGCTACAAGTCACACAATCAGGTAGCTCTTTAATATTTGGTTGTAGTACCAGGTGAAGGATTAAAAAATGTTGTTTAACATATTAAAATTAAATATATGAATTAAGTCTATTGAGGAAAGTGATCCAAAAATATATTTATGAGGTAAAGAATCACAAATGGAAATTACAAGCACTTATGTATCATTCATAGTTTAAGATTTTTAGTGTTTTTAATTTGGGTTTTCTTTAGAGAACTATCTTAATTGATTTTTTTTGTACCAGCAGCTGTGGCAAACCACAGAAACCAAACTATACTGGATTTATTGGAAGATGATTTATTTGAATGATATTGGGTAGCTTACAAAATTATCAGGAATGCTATACAGCCAAGTTTAGAAAAGGAACAAAGAATAAATAAAAGTAAGATCTTACTTTAGAAGCCCTACCCCTGAACTTCACTCACTGCTAGGACACTCTCTGCTGGGACATAGGGCTCATGGTTCCATAGCAGAGGCCACACATAATCTCTACGCATGCCTTAATCTTTGTTTTACTTCCTCAATAGTCAAAGCGTGTGTGAGCAGCATCTAATTTGCGAAGTTTAGGGCAATTTTCTATATCATAGCTGCCTCAACCTTTGGATCCCATAGGGAAAGGTAGACTTCTAACAGGAATACTCCAATATAGGAAGAGTCTTTCAAAATGAGCTCATACACACCAATGTCAAATGCCTTTTACATTTATTAAATTGTATGTAGATTATGTAGTTTCTACTAGCTCTCTTGAGATGAGTTTTCTCATAAAAATTTATTTTATCGGTTGTAAATTTTTGTATGATTTAGGACTTTCTAATACCTATGTCAATGACAAGGGAAAGATTACCATACAATTGTATGAACCCAAGAGAAACTGTAAAGATGAAGTAAATCTGCCCAGTGACTGCTCTTTCTGTTCAGCTGAATTCAGGGCTAACGAGTCTGCATTACTAGCACCACTGTGGCAGAAGAAAGCAGGATAGGAAAGGAGAAGTTGAAAGAGAGAGAGAAGGAAAGAAACAGATATACAAAAGATCTTATCTCTATCTAAAGGAATAAACAAGATAAAATTACTTAAGAATATTAATAATATTTATGCCTTAAACTAAGCACATAAATCATGAGTTGTGTAGAGTATGTATTAATCAGAGTCACTCCTGGCATTTCAGCAAGGAATAAATCTAGAGGGGATAAATTTTGACCTAACTTGCACCCATTATTATTGACAGTCACTTATTCATTCACTTCATCAACAGATATACATGGACACCTACTTTACACAGAAGATCAAACAACTGAGAAAAACAAAGAACACTGATGAGCAAAATCAAGATAAGTAAAGAGAGGAATGATAGCTCATTAGGGACAAAAAATGTATTATAAAATTATATTTTAAAGTAGCCTCATGCTTCAGAAAAATTCAAGAGGCAGTGGTGAATGAACAAACTAATCCTAAAATTCTTATGGAAATGCAAGTGACTATAAAAACAATATTAAGAGAAAAAACATGTTAGAAGAATCCCAATTTCAACACTTGCTACAAAGCAACAGTAAACAAAAGAGTATAATACTGGCATGGGAAAGACATATAGACCAATGGAATAAAATGGAAAATCCAGAAATAAACCCATACTTCTATGGTCAATTGACTTTCAGCAGAGATAACAAAACAATTGAATGAGTAGACTAGTCTTTTCAATAAACAGAGCTGAGAAAACCAGACATTCACATGCAAAATAGATAATTTGAACTTCTAGCTTGTATTTTATACCAACCTTAACCCAAGATAGATCAAAGACCTAAACTGAAGAGCTAAAACTTAGAAGAAAACAGGCGTAAGTCTACATGACCTTGGATTAGACCTGTTGCTTAGATATGATACCAAAAGCACAAACAATCAATGACAAAATAGATAAATTGAACCACATCAAAATGAAAACCTTTTGTGCATAAAAATACACTAAAAAGAAAGTGAAAAGATAACCCACAAAATGGGACAAAATATTTGCAAAGCATATATCAGTAAGTGTCTAGTATCCAGAATATATAAAGTCTTACAACTTAAAGAATCAAAAGCAAATAATACACTAAACAACAAGCAAAGAATTTGAATAGACATTTCTTCAAAGATATACAAATGGCAACTAGGCACATAGATATTCATCAGCATTCATCATTTGCAAAGTGCAAATCAAAACCACAATGAGATATCACTACACAATCACAAAGATGTCTACAATAAAAAAAAAAAAAAGCAGAAAACAAGTTGGGGGGAGGATGTGCAGAGGTTGGATCCTTCATACACTTTTGGTAGGAATGTAAGACGATAAAGCCACTGTAAAAATATTTTGGTAGTTCATTTGAAAGTTAAGCAAATTTACCATGTTACCCAGCTGATATGGTTTGGCAGTATCCCCACCCAAATATCATCTTGAATTTCCATGTGTTCTGAGAGGCACCTGGTGGGAGGTATTTGAATCACGGGGGCAGGTCTTTCCTGTGCTGTTCTCATGATAGTGAGTAAGTCTCATGAGATCTGATGGTTATTTTAAGGGGGAGTTTTTCTACACAAGCTCTTTTTATCCACCTCCATCCATGTAAGATGTGGCTTGCTCCTCCTTGCCTTCCACCATGATTGTGAGGCTTCCCCACCTATGGGGAAATGTGAGTTCTCCATTAAACCTCCTTTTATTGTAAATTGCCCAGTCTTGGGCATGTCTTTATCAGCAGCATGAAAACGGACTAATACAGTTAATTGATACCAGAAGTGGGCTGTTGCTGAAAAGACACCTGAAAATGTGGAAGTGACTTTGGAACTGGACAACAGGCAGAGGTTGGAACAGATTGGAGGGCTCAGAAGAAGATAGGAAAATGTGGGAAAGTATGGAACTTCCTAGACACTTGTTGAATGGCTTTGACAAAAATGCTGATAGTGATATGAACAATAAGGATCAGGCAGAGTTGGTCTCAGATGGAGATGAGGAACTTATTGGGAACTGTAGCAAAGGT
Source organism: Homo sapiens (assembly GCF_000001405.40). Classification (NCBI taxonomy): domain Eukaryota; kingdom Metazoa; phylum Chordata; class Mammalia; order Primates; family Hominidae; genus Homo; species Homo sapiens. Next base: position 118,258,732 of record NC_000003.12, read on the forward strand.
GACACTTGTTGTGTTTTTGCAAAGAGACTGGTAGCATTTTGCCCCTGCCCTAGAGATCTGTGGAACTTTGAACTTGAGGTAGATGATTTAGGGCACCTAGAGGAAGAAATTTTCAAGCACCAAAGCATTCAAGAGGTGACCTGGGTGCTGTTAAAGGCATTCCATTTTATAAGGCAAGCAGAGCATAAAAGGAAAGTTTGCAACCTGCCAATGCGATAGAAAAGAAAATCTCATTTTCTGAGGAGAAATTCAAGCCAGCTGCAGAAATTTGCATAAGTAGTGAGGAATGCTAATCCCCAAGACAATGGGAAAATGTCTCCAGGGCATGTCAGAGGTTTTCACAGCAGCACCTCCCATCACAGGCCTGGGGGCCTAGAAGGAAAACATGCCTTTGTGGGTCAGGTCCAGGGTCCTCATGCTGTGTGTATCCTAGGGACATGGTGCCCTGCATCTCAGCTGCTCCAGCCATGGCTGAAAGGAGTCAATGTAAAGCTCAGGCCATGGCTTCAGAAGGTACAAACCCCAAGCCTTGGCAGCTTTCACGTGGTATTGAGCCTTTGAGTGCATGGAAGTCAAGAACTGGGGTTTGGGGACCTCTGCCTAGATTTCAGAAAATGTATGGAAATGCCTGGAAGTCCAGGCAGAAGTTTGCTACAGGGGCAGGGCCTTCATGGAGAACCTCTGCTAGGCCAGTGCAGAAGGGAAATGTGGGGTCAGAGCCTCTACACAGAGTCCCTACTGTGGCACTGCCTAGTGGAACTGTGAGAAGAGGGTCACCATCCTCCAGACCCCAGAATGGTAGATCCACTGACAGCTTGCACCATGTGCCTGGAAAAGTCACAGACATTCAACCCTAGCCCATGAAAGCAGTCAGGAAGAGGCGATACCCTGCAAAGCCACAGGGGCGGAACTGCCCAAGACCATGGGAACCAACTACCTCTTGCATCAGTGTGACTTGGATGTGAGACATGGATTCAAAGGAGATCATTTTGGAGCTTTAAGAGTTGACTGCTCTGCTAGATTTTGGACTTACATGGGGCCTCTATCCCCTTTGTTTTGGCCAATGTCTCTCATTTGGAATGGCTTTATGCAATACCTGTACCTCTACTGTATGTAGGAAGTAACTAACTTGCTTTTGATTTTACAGGCTCATAGGTGGAAGGGACTTGCCTTTATCAGATGGGACTTTGGACTGTGGACATTTAGGTTAATGCTGAAATGAGTTAAGACTTTGGGGGACTATGCGAAGGCATGATTAGTTTTGAAATGTGAGGACATGAGATGTGGGAGGGGCACAGGGTGGAATGATATGATTTTGCTGTGTCCCCAACCAAATCTCATCTTGAATTCCCACGTGTTGTAGGAGGGACCCAGTGGGAGGTATTTGAATCAGGGGGGTGGGTCTTACCTATGCTTTTCTTGTGATAGTAAGTCTCATTAGATCTGATGGTTATTATAAGGGTGGGGGGACGGGTTCCTGCACAACCTCTCTTTATCTGCTACCATCCATCAATGTAAGATGAGACTTGCTCCTCCTTGCATTTTGTCATGATTGTGAGGCTTCCCCAGCCATGTGCAATGCGAGTTCTCCATTAAACCTCTTTCCTTTGCAAATTGTCCGGTCTCGGGTATGTCTTTATCAGTAGTGTGAACATGGACTAATATACCAGCAATTCACTTTTAAATATAAATGTATGAAATTGAAAGCACATTTAAAAAACAATTGTACAAAAATGTTCCTAGTAGCATTATTCAAAATAGCCTAAAATTAGAAACAACCAATTTCTATCTGCTGATGAATGGGTAAATAAAATGTAGTATGTCTATACAATGGAATATTAGCCACATAAAAAGGAAAGGAATGAAGAATTGATACATGCTACAACATGGATGAACCCTGAAAATATTGTTGTAAGTAGAGGAAAACAGACACAAAAAGCCACATATTATATGATTTCATTTACACAAAATGTCTACATTAGGCAAATCCACCAGAATGAAAAATAGTAGGGAAAGGGAGGTATTGGAACTGACTGCTAATAGGTACAGATATAGTGGTGATGATTATACAACATAATCAATACACAAAAATACTCCATTAAATTGTATACTTTTAAATAGTGAATTTTATGTTATGTGAATTATATTTTAATTTTTAAAAAGAGGTCATTGTAGCCATAAAACAAGAATAGGCTGCTATATAAACAGTATTTAGAAAGTAAGAAACTGTTCTTAGAAATTAAAAACATAATTAACAAAATAAAATTTCAAATGAAATAGATTGACAAATTAATACATCAAAATCAGCTTAAGACCAATTTACTAACACAAAAGATAAATTTAAAACTGTAACATATATATCAAAAGAGCTGAAAATATGAAATATATATTAGAAATGTCAAGAATAGTTTAAAAAGACATATTAACCAAATACATTGTGTTTCAAGCTGCAGATATAGCCCATTAGTAAGTCATTGCAATGGACTGAATTGTGTTTCCTAAAAATTCATATTTTGAAAATCTTAACCCCTAATAGGTTTGTATTTAGAAATGGGGCTTTTGAGAGCTAATTAGGTCATGAGGGTGGAGCTCCTACAATAGCATTAGTGCCCTTATAAGAAGAGACACAAGAGTGCTCTCTCAACTATGTGAGGATATATCAAGAAAGTGGCTATCTGCAAGCCAAGAAGAGGGCCCTTACCAGAAACGGGGTTACTGGTACCCAGATGATGGTACTTTCCAGCCTCTAGAACTATGAGAAATAAACTTATTTTGTTTAAGCCACCCAGTCTTTGCTAATTTTTTATAGTAGCCCAAGCAAACTAATATGGTCATGATACCAAATTAGTGCTCTATAACCAGCATTTTTAAAAATAAAATAAAATGAAAAGGAACAGACCAGAATACAGAACATTTGGTAATATACATGTACATATTTGATAGCATACAATTCTTTAGATTGTGTTCAAATGTTTGAGTCAATTATGATCTATTGGAATATCAATCAGGTAGAGATGATAACAATACAGGGTGCAGCTCAGAAAAATAATGAGATAATTTTCCCCATATTGAAGAAAGGCACTAAATCTGTTAGTTTGAAGAACCAATCACATACTTAACAGAACAAATGAAAACACCCATATCCAGGTGAAATTTTATGCTTTCAATGAAAATTATAAAGATTCAACAACTTAAGGAGCAGAGAATAATGCAGTGCCATCCTCAACCTTCTCTAGGAGAAAAGAGTCACAATCAAAACTTTATGCCTAAAAAATATCAATCAAGCAGGAGAGAAAAATTAGGGCACTTAGTGACAGTCAAGAACTTAGAAAGTCTACAACTCACATATTCTATGAATAAATGAAATTACACAATAAGGTAATCCAAGAAAATGAAAAAAGAATATGTGATCCAAGAATGAGGATGGTCTAGGATGTATATTTAAGTATCACGCAAAAGAAGGGAAGAAAGCTTAAAAGTATAGAAAAGGGAATCATTTAAAATGAGATGCTTAGAAAATTCCCCTATCATAGTTTAAATGACTGACACTGAGTAACAATTCCTTCTCTGAGTAGCACACACTTCTTGGTCCCACAGTGAATAATATGTATGTAATTATAATACTGTGAATTGTGTGCAGTGAGTTTCAGTATGTGATATCAACTGATAAAGTATGAAAGACATAGGTATATAAAGCTGATAAATATTAAGATAAATCTTAATGAAAATATAGCATAGAGAAAAGATGACATAGACAAAAGAATAATTATGGAAAAGTGATAAATGCTTTAATTCTCTCATTTCATATCAGGAAATAAACAGAAACTGTCTAACGCCAATAGACCTAAAAATTTATGGGGCTGAAGTCATAAACACAACAAATAAACTGAAAATAATAGTATGAACACAAAAAGTGGAGACAGCATGAATATTTTATCAATGAGCTATTTACCAAAGGAGTGATCTACCAAAGGAGATATTTACCAATAGCTCATTTCATAGCCCATTTAAGGGATAATATGGCTGTGTTTGTAACTGTAGGGCAGTTCTCTGAAGGAGTATGTAGTTGATGAATTATAATGATGGCCTCAACTAATGTGACCTACCTGTATCCAAGCCATGTGCCCTGTAAGTTAGTAGTCCTTTTCTATTCTGACTCTGGGCTTAGATAAGTCATTTGCTTTTGGTCACTCGTTTCATAGTAGAGTGAATGCAAGAAGAGGCTTGAAAATGCATGTCGTATTTCCCTTCCCGCTCTTGTTTCCTTTAATTGCCTTAAGAACATGCCCTGACTAGCTTGCTTCTGCTGGATAAAATACATACTACCAATTCCAACTTACTACCTGAGGGTTCTTTCTTGTCTTCTTTTTTTCTATGTGTATAAATCCCTTCTCTGTCAGTAAGTGCTTAATCCTCCTGTCAGTAACCAATCTCTGGACCACGCTGGACACCTCAGCAGCCCTTGGCCCTGCAGCTTCCCAGCACCACCATCTCCTCAGATCCCAGCAGGGCTGCTTCTTGGCCCTTGGCCCTGCCACTAGTTCCTTGGGTGTGACTAATACCCCTTCATCCCCCACACCCCACATGCCATCTCCTCACCTCCACAAGCCACACTGCTGCCTCCTAAAGCAGGAAACAAAAAAGAAGAGAAAGAGAAACTTCAACGAACATTTCTATTTCAAATAATTTATCTGTTAAAATCGTAATTCAAAAAAGATGCTCATTTCACTATTCACTTATTAGAGGTAACAAGAGAGAGGAAGGATTTCTTAATCTTATAACAACACTCTACTTTGAATGTCATCGTTTTTGGAGATATTCATCTACTGGGATCGTATTTAATATCTTCTGCCTGATATGCATAAAACTGAATTCAGGTACTAGTATGAAATGTTCTGCAGTAATACCATAAAGCATAACTATTTGCTGAATATCTACTACATTTCAGTATACAAGGAGTCTTTAAGCCAATAAAATACCATTCCACAACCAACAGATGAGCAAATTTAAAAAGTTCGACAATGTTAAGTACTGACAAGACTATGAAGAAAAAGGAACTCTCATATCCTGCTGACATAAAATAAATCAGTATGTTTTGGAGAATGTTTTGAAAATATCTAGTACATTTGAAGATGAACTTGTTCTTTGACTGTAAACCTTTACTTTGAGGATTAATTCTTAGAGAAAATTTGCAGATTTTCACAGAGAGACATGAAAAACTAGTTCATTACAGCCTTGATACAGATAGGAAAAATTGGGAATGGCATAAATGTTCATCATCAAGATAACAAACAAATGCAGTATATACATCAAATTTCATAGGATATATTCATGAAAATTAATGAACTGGAACTACTGATATCTAGGTTGATACCTAGATAAAAATTTAAAACATAATATGGAGGAAAAAAAGAATAATGCAGTATGATACAATCACAATGATAAATTCTTTGCATAAAATATATAAATATGCTAAATAATGCTGCATATTTTTTAAGATATATACATCTATAATAATAAATATATATACAGGCATGGAGGTGATAAATACCAAATTCAACAAAATGATTACCTCTGAATAGAGTGGAGTCTTCAACCATATCTGAATTATTTTATATTTTAAAAATATAAAGTGAACATAGTTAAAAATTGATAAAGTTATATAATAAACACATACTATTTATGACATTTTTCCATAAAACTTTCTATATGATTACACAACCACAGGTACCTATATATCTCAAGGAGGTTCAAACTTGTTGGAATGGTAGAATGTCTGGCAAAGGATGCCTATAAATAAATGAGACTCTTTTTGCAGTCCACATAGTATTGCACAAAACAAATAAGTCTCTACTCTTATAAGGTTAACAGTATATTAGTAGAGGCAAATATTAAGCAAATAAATACATAAATACATAATGAACACTTATAATAAGTGCTATGAAGTACTGATGTCATTTATCAGAGGTGAGAAACTGAGGAAGTGATGTAGTCAACGGTGTCTTCTCTGAAAGTAAAATATGTAAGCTGAGGGTTAAAAGATGAATGCAAATTAACCAAAAGAAAAGAAAGATGAAGATTCTTCCAGTTACAGGTAATATCAGGTGTAAAATCCCTGATGCTGTGAACAGATTGTCAATTTCAAGAAAGGGAAAGGACATTGTATTGCTGAGCAAAGTGAATAAAAAGTGGAAGTTGTAACAGGCAGGGCAGATACCAGATCATGTAGGGCCTTTCAGGCCATGATAAGAAATTTAGATTTTATGGAAGGAACAATGGAAAGCCATTGAAGGAGCTTAGGAAGGAATGTGCTGTGATCCTACTTATATATTTAGAAGGTCATTTTGCTGCTAGGTGGAGAATTGATCTAACAGGTTGAAGACCTTCAAAACAATAGTTTCAAACCAGCATACTCCAGCAAATATTGGGTATAATTGCTCACAAATTATTGTAGACTAATGACGTCTCTGGAAACATAGTACATTGGTAAGCATTGAATTCAGGTTTCAGCTGCATCATGTATTAGCTCTATAATCTTGAACAATGATAATCATCACAGACACTTACTGAATTAAACTGGCAACCTTACTTTGATTGCTAAAAAAAGTGAAAACAAAAAGCCAAGAATACAAAAAATTATATAATTTAACTCCTCTCCACTTCCACATTTTGAATTTTTGATATTACAATTTACAGCTTTTTGATTGCATATTCCATAACCAGTTATAGTTATTATTTTAATAGTTTTGTCTTTTCATTTTCATACTAAAGACATGAGGTTTATATTCTATGATTACATTATTAGGGTATTATGAATTTGATTATATACTTAATTTTGCCAGTGAGTTTTATACCTTCAGATGTTTTTATATTATTCATTATTGTCCTTTTCCTTCTGTTTGAAAATCTCTTTTTAGCATTTCTTGTAAGACAGATCTGGTAGTGATAAACTTCCTCAGCTTTTGTTTGTCTGGGGAAGTATTTGTCTCTCTTTCATTTTGAACACTATCTTTGCTGGGTACAGTATTCTTGATTGGCTGTTTGTTTTTTTCCTTCAGTACTTTTAATACATCATCCCACTTCTTCCTGGCCTTCTTAGCTAAGAAGTCTGCAGCCAGGTGTATTGGAATCTCATATGTTATTTGCTTTCTTTCACTTGCTGCTTTTATAAATCTCTCCATATTTTTGACCTTTGAGAGTTTTATTATCATATGTCTTGGGATAGTTTTACAAGAATTGAATCTGATTGTTCACGCTCGCTGTTGCATTTTTTATTTTATTCCTTCTACTTTTTAGCTCTATGATTTCTGTTTAATTATTTTTTATTATTTCAATCTTTCTGTTAAATTTATCTGACAATTTCTAAAGTGCTTCTGTGCATTTTCTTGAAGATCACTGAGCTTTTTTGAAACAATTGTTTTGAATCTTTAATCAGGAAAATCACACATCTCTGTCTCTTTAGAGTCAAGTCACTGGCACCTTGATTTGACTTTTTGGTGATGTCATGTTTCCCTAATTGTTCTTGATTTTTGTGGTTATCAGTGTCTGAACACTGAATATGTAAGTATTTATTCCAGTCTTCATAGTCTCACTTTGTGACAATCCTCACACAGTATACCTGTACAAAAATTCTTACTGACCAGACTGCTGTTTTGATCTCTTAGCACATGACCACTGTATCTATTGTAGCAATAGAGGGTAGCCTAAGCCCAGTTCTGTAGAGGCTGGCACCAAGGCTTATGAATTGGCTGCTGTGCACTCAACCCCTATTCTTTGTTTCTAATTGACCCATGTTGGGCTAGTCCTATTCGCACTTGCAATGCCTCCCATGGGAAAGGACTGGAGAGATCCTCCTGCATAAAAGTCTCAGAATGGTGGGAAAGCTGAATGCCCACCTCTACTTCACTTTTTTCACTGTAGAAACTGTACATACAGAGGACTTTTCTGCTTGTGGTGCTGTGTAAGTTTGGGGGTGTGGCCATTGTGGTCACAGAGCACATTTCATTTCTCTTATCACTTCACTATGTTTTTTCTCAGCTCTGTGGTCCAATGGAATGACACACTTTTGCTCCCAACTTCTGGGATATTCAGGTGGTAACCTTGCCACTAGATAATTGCCAGTTGAAATTCTGTAGGAGTGCAGTGGAGAGAAGCTGGAGAACTTTTTCTCTGTCATTTTGCTGTCATCACTCCTCACTGATGATGTGTTGTTGCCATGGTGATTCTGCTCAGTACAATGGGAACCACAGGATTAAACACTGTTGTACATGCTTGGCTTCATATCAAGTGTCTGGTTGTATAAATAAATTTCTTGTTTAAAATTTAAAAAATAAAAGTTAATAACACTGAATCAAGTTTCTCTAACTGTAAAATGTGTTGACTGGACTGAAGATGACAAAGGTGGGGTTTTGGTCATTGGACAGTTCTAAATCTCCATGGGAGCTTGAGAACTGCTCATGCCTCCTGAGAGTCTTTGTATTAAATTCTTTTTGTATACTAGATACTATGCTAAAAAGTTTTATATTTATTATCTTATTGAATTATCAGAACAACCCTATGGAGTTAGGTATTATTATATTTTGTCCATTACATACACATTAAGAAAATTGAGACTTACAAGGTTTGTTAAATTATTCATGCCACATAATTAAGTAAGCAGTGAAGTCAGGGTTTGAACTCATGTAATTTTGAAACTTCATGATCTGCTGTGTTATTTCATGTATGAACTAGATATAAAGAGAACAGTTCATTGAATTGACAAGATTAAATGAAATAACTTATGCAATGTTGCAAGTCCCATATTAGTATGAGATTGCTATTTTTACATTTATCTTAAAAGAATAATATAAACTTATAACCTTACTTTTTTAAAGCAATGTTTTAAAATTTTCAAGGTACTTTAGGTGCTCATGAATTACATAATTTGGTAAGTTTAGAAAAGTTGAGAACAATTAATGTGATGCACAAATGAATCATTCCCACTTGCCTAAAGTTATAACTTTTCATTGACATCATTGCTCAGAAATCAGTCATCAACAATCATATCTGGAAAACACAAAATACAAATGAGGAACTGGTGACTGTTTTGGCAGTTTTTAACTGGAGAGCCAAAACAGTAGAGCTGGAAGGAACTGGATCAACTGGGTAGCTGACAAAACGGAGATCTAGAAAGATAAACATAGGGCGAATGAATAGATATTTTCTTACTTTAATCCTCTGACTGTTTTATAGTATATCGCAAATTGATTTTCTTATGAAACAGAGGTAGTAGGGTCAACCACCAAAATGCTGGCAGAACAAATTGTGGTAACAATCCTCATAATCCTTCTACCTGATCTTTCTATAGCAAGGATAGCAACAAAGTTGTATCACTTCTAAAAAGATGCTACCTACTCTCATATACATATAACACTTTATGAATTATGGAGTACCTCAGAAAACATTTTGCAGCTTAATAATGATGAAACAATAATTATCATTATTTAATGAGCACTAAAATCATAATAAATTTTGACTATATCTTGGTGCACTATATTCTTTCTACACAACAGAAATTAAAAGTATTGTATCAATAAGTCTAATACTGAGTATAATTGCAACTCTATTTCCTAGACCATTCATTTCTAAGTGCAAATCTTAAGGTTTCAAGACAGTCAGAAAATGTAAGTAAACTTATTTTCTATTCTGCATTCTCACAATTGCCTTATTTCTCCATTTTACCTCATATGTGAAAAGACAAGAAGTATATGAGAAGAACAATTGTCTCTAATTAGCAAAACACTTGGAACTGTAGATTGAAAAAGAATGTGTGGAGATAAGTTCAGCCTTAGGTGGGAAAGTAAAACATATCCCAACCCCACCTATGCCTCTTGCCAGATAGGTGTGAGAAATCAAAAACAAGAGAGACACAGAGAGAGAGAAAGAAACAGACAGACAGATGGAGATTGCTCCTTTTTTTTTTTTTTACCTCAATAACAACAAAAAGCAACAGAAAGAGACAGTGGAATGGAGAGATGGGGAGGAAACATAGGCTTTTGCATCAAATACAATTTCTGTCACATCTCATTTTTTTCTATCTGGTGACCTTAGCTAAGTCACTTAACTCCTCGAGTCTCAGTTATTACCATGTTTAAAAAATAATATGAAAATAGGTACCTCATGGTTTTTCTGAGGATGAAATGAGACAATGTGTATATAGGGTCTATAGCAGTGCCTGGAACATAGTAGTAACTCAACAAATGGTACTTATTATTTTTATAATATTACCATTACTAGAAGTCTCTGAAGCCACAAAACACTACTTTTTAGCCTCTTGGTACTTCCAAACTTCCCTGTTCATAGAGTATAATGCAATAAAAAATGTTCAATGCTTAATAAATTATTGAACAATTCGACATTTTTTTTTCAGTAGTTTCAGCAGTTCAGCATGCAGTGAGAAAGGAGATACGGCTTTGCCATCATGCATGGTTATATAAAATAATGTAGCCTTCCCCAGGCTCCCAAAGAGAAGGTAGGTACCCTGGACACGCTTACTAGGAACACTTTTGACATCTATCATACAAAAAATTAGGAAAGATTTTGTCTACCAACACCCCAGCCTGGGATATGGGATTTTTCTCTTTTTATTTATCTGTGGTAACTACTTCCATAACATTCAATGTGATGTGCACTATGGTAATTTTTATATTGTGCAAAATTTGTACTCACAGTGTAAACTCTGTAATCACAATTGTGTAAGCTCTTTGAGGAAAAGAACGCTTCCTATTGAGAGGTGACAGCGTGCTGGCAGCCCTCTACAGCCCTTGCTCGCTCTCGGAGCCTCCTCGGCCTCCCGGCGTCCACTCTGGCCGCGCTTGAGGAGCCCTTCAGCCCGCCGCTGCACTGTGGGAGGCCTTCTCTGGGCTGGCCGAGGCCGGAGCCGGCTCCCTCGGCTTGCGGGGAGGTGTGGAGGGAGAGGCACTGCCTGGAACTGGGGCTGCGCGCGGCACTTGCAGGCCAGCTAGAGTTCCCGGTGGGCGTGGGCTTGGCGGGCTCTGCACTCGGAGCGACAGGCCGGCCCTGCCTGCCAGGCCAGCAGCTGCGGAGGGTGCGCTGGGGCCCCCAGCAGTGCTGGCCCACTGGCGCTGCACTCGATTTCTCACCCAGCTTTAGCTGCCTCCCCGAGGGGCAGGGCTCGGGACCTGCAGCCCGCCATACCTGAGTCCACCCCTGCGACATCCCGCCCTGGGCTCCTGCGTAGCCTGAGCCTCCCAGACGAGCACTGCCCCCTGCTCCATGGCGCCCAGTCCCATCAACCGCCCAAGGGCTGAGGAGTGCGGGTGCACGGTGCAGGACTGGCAGGCAGCTCCACCTGCCACCCTGTTGGGACATCCACTGGGTGAAGCCAGATGAGCTCCTGAATCTAATGGGGACTTGGAAAACCTTTATGTCTAGCTAAGGGATTGTAAACACACCAATCAGCACCCTGTGTCTAGCTCAGGGTTTGTGAATGCATCAATTGGCACTCTGTTATCTAACTAATCTGGTGGGGACTTGGAGAATCTTTATGTCTAGCTAAGGGATTGTGAATGCACCAATCGGCACTTCGTATCTAGCTCAGGGATTTTTTTAAATGCACCAATCAGCACCCTGTCAAAACGGACCAATCAGCTCTCTGTAAAACAGACCAATCAGCTCTCTGTAAAATGGACCAATCAGCAGGATGTGGGTGGGGCCAGATAAGAGAATAAAAGCTGGCTGCCTGAGCCAGCAGTGGCAACCTGCTGAGTTTACATTCTGCAGTGGGGTTGCTTTGTTCTTTTGCTCTTTGCAATAATTCTTGCTACTGCTCACTCTTTGGGTTCGTACTGTCTTTATGAGCTGTAACACTCACTGAGAAGGTCTGCAGCTTCACTCGTGAAGCCAGTGAGACCATGAACCCACCGGGAGGAACGAACAGCTCCAGACGCGCTGCCTTAAGAGTTGTAACACTCACCGCGAAGGTCTGCAGCTTCACTCCGGAGCCAGCGAGACCATGAACCCACCAGAAGGAAGAAACTCGGAACACATCTGAACTTCAGAGGGAACAAACTCTGGACACGCCACCTTTAAGAACTGTAACACTCACTGCGAGGGTCTGTGGCTTCATTCTTGAAGTCAGACCAAGAACCCACCAATTCCGGACATGCTATTTGCCTCTGTATTTCTAGAATATGAATAAAGCCAACACATAGTAAATACTCACATGGATGGGTGCATTTCTCTAAGATAATAATTACTCAAAATTTGCCATGTATCATACTAAATACTTTATACAGATTATCTCCTTTAATTCTGATGAGATCCCTGTGAGCTTTTTACAGATGAGAAAACCGAAGTAACTTGTTCAAGGATTTACAGTTACTAAATTTTCCAGCCAAAGTCAGGATGTTAGATTCCAAGCCCAGACTGCTGGCCATGACTGTAACCATGCCTCTTCCCTTTGGGGCTTGTGTATTGTCCCTTTGAAGATGGTCTACCCTGCCCTGAAGTTAGTGCCTCCTCTGTTACTCCAATAATTACGTCCTGTGCATTTCCTTCAGAGCATTTATCCTAATTTGTAATTACATATTCATTCACATACGTATTTTGCTTGTTTCCCCAACAAATTGCGATCCCCTAAATGGTAGGGTTAACCCGTTTTATTTGCTAATCTATACCTAGCACCTCATAAGCTGTTTGGTGCATGGTAAGTGCTTGAGAAACATGTGAAAATGAGAGGAAGAATCAATGCAGAAATAAGTACATGAAGGTCAAAGAAACTATTTGTTTCTTAACAAGAACTGTGACTATTCATCCTAGTTTCTCTGGCATCTGGCATAATGCTTGATAGAGTAGGAACTTAATACATGTTTGTTGAGTGAATTAATGTCTATAGATAAGTAGGTTATATGGAAATAGATTCTTATTCCTATATGTAAGCCATTATATGCTTTTTCTCATTAATCCCACAATTAACAAGCAAAGCATGAATTGTGATCACAGAGTTCCCTTCTACTAGGGAAAGATGTTAAACAAAATTGGAAATCATTTTGAGCATTTTAGTTTCTCCCATACTTCCTGCCCCTACCTTCTAATTTTGTTTTTAAATCCACTTTCTTCCTTCCTAGTTAAGTTCATTTGTAAACTCTGCTAAAGCCATAATGCCTCTGTCTTTCTCTCCCTGATCTCCTTCATGGAGACCTGTGGCCTCAAAGTAAGGTCTTACTCCCTTCCAAGACCTACAGAGTTAGGCAAGTGGGAGCAACAATGTCTTTTCACAAGCCCTCTCCTGGAACCCTAGGTTCTCAAACTTAGTATCTATCTGAGAGGTTGTAATACAGATTCCTGGGCTCCACCCTCAGAGTTTCTGGTTTAGTTGGCCTAGGGGGGTTGGGGGCTGAGAATCTGCATTTCTAACAAGTTCCCAGGTGATGTTAATATTGATGCTGCTGACCTGGGATTATATGTTGGGAACCAACAATATAGGGTGTAGATATAAGTCTAGAGTTCTCAAACCTAACCATATATTTGAATCACTTGAGAATTCAATGTCTGGGCTGCATTCCAGAACAACTAAATCAAATGTCTGGGTATCGATCTATTTTCAAGTTTCTCAGGTGTTCTAATGTATAGCCCAAGTTCGAGAATCACTGTAGTTCAGCGCTTCTCCAACTTAATGTTCATGCTATTGACTAAGAAATGTGGTGGGCCCCTTGCTCATAAAATGTGGTCAGCAGAGCGGCAGCTTGGAGATCTCCTGGGGCTTATTAGAAATGTAGTGCTCTGGCCCCACATCATATTCTCGCTTTTGAATTTATATTTTAACAATACCCTGTGATAATTCTCAAGCATACTAGAATTTAAGAAGAATCAGAGACCATGAAAGATATAAAATCTATTAGAAAAGAATAAACAGAATCCCAGATTCACCACTTAGGGTCAGGTAGAAAGTAGTCCTTCAGGGTCTCTGAACTCTGATTTGGTGGTTCTCTTCTAGTCATTCTGGGGCTTTTTAATCAACTGTCTGTGCATGCATATGCATCCATGTGTGACATGTGAGAGTAGACACAAATCACGTGCAAGGGCGTGCTTTCTCCAAGTCCTCTATTCTTGTTTACTGCTGTCCACATTTTACCCTGGATTTCACATCATATTATTCTCCTTTCTATTCACTCAAGGTCTTCAAACTTTCTGAACAATAGAAAATTTGCAATCCCTTTGTGGCTATATCACAAAGTACTATAATTTCCATAATTTTAGAGGAACAGGCATCCCAGGGAATGAGGTAGTGGGTGGATGCATCCATAGGGGAGGCAGATGTGCTAAGATGGGATGGGTATTCCTTCCTAATTCTACCAATAAGTGAAGCACAAGAACCACCAGTCTCTTTATGCGTTTAGAACAGATGGAGAAAATGTTTAAACTGCCTCTGATGAGTCAGAAATCCAAGTTCTATTCTGAGTTCTGTGGCTTTGGAAAGCTTATTTATCTCAGCTCCAACTAGTCAAGTTGTGGAATAACTTTGCCTTTAAAAAAAGAGAAGTCATAGAAAGCAGCAGTGCCAACAGCCAAGTTCATATTTCCCCTCTTACTCTGAGGGATAAAAATGGCTGCGCTGGCATCAGCCTTCAGCTTTAGAGAAGAAAGGATGAAGAATAGAAACTCTTAAATATTCCTCTCTGGATCAAAAAGGTATGAAAAGAAAAAAAGAGAGAGAGAACAGAGTCTGTGCAGCACAAAAAAGCACCCTTAGCTATGTCATTGAAAAGACAAGAGAGGAAGAAAATAATTGAAGATTAATGGGGAAAATTATCCCTGGGTAGCTGAAGCACCAATGAAAGAATGATAATAATAATAATAACTAACATTTATGTTAAATTTTGCTCTTTGTTTTATTTGGTCTTGCAATCTTATGAAGAACCTACTATGTGATTATTTCCATTTTATAGGTAGAAAAACCAAAGGCATCAAAAGTCAGTGTCCTCAACAAAGTCACACAGACCATAAGTGTCAGAACTAGAGGATAACCATATTGTAGCTTTAAATTCTCTAAGGTTTCTTGAAAATATTCTTCTATGGTTAAAAGATGGTAAATGGTTCCCAACTGGCATTAGGCCTTTGATGATGTTCACTTGTAATCTTTCACTAGGGCAGCATTAATGATTTCCCCTAATCTAAGATAAATTCTATGAAGACTCACAGTGGGAGACAAAGGAGACAGGTCAGGTTACCAAATGATCTTCCAACTCAGTGTTTTCCAAACATCAATCAAAAATACAAATCACATGTATACCTGTTAAACATTTTGTTTTACTGGGAATCTCTCCCAGTAAGATTCTGATTTAAAGCATCTTGGATGGGCCTGGGAACCATATTTTTAAGTATTGTCTTAGCTCAGGCTGCTATAATAAATTATCATAGACTGGGTGGTTTAAACAACAAACATTTATTTTTTGCAGTTCTAAAGGCTAGAAAATCCAAGATCAAGGTGCTGGCAGATCTAGTTGTCAGGCGAGGGCTCCCTTCCTGGTTTGCAGATGTACATCTTCTTACTATGTCTTCACAGGGCAAAGAGCAAAGAAAAAGGAAGCAAGCTTTCTCATGTCTCTTCTTATAAGAGCACTAATCCCATCATGAAGTTTTCATCCTCATGAACTAATTACTTTCCAAAGGCCCCACCTTCTGATACCATCCCACTTGGGGGTTAGAGTTTCAACATATGAATTTTGGAAAGAAACAAACATGGAGTCCATAACAAGTATGTACGCCCATGTTTTTCTTTTTATTAGAGAAGATTAGAAAGAATTGATCTTCTTAACGCATAAAGCTACAATTGTGATTAGAACAGTAATTAACTGAAAGTATATGTCATTTTAATATTTTTAATGCCTGCTTCTTTAATCCAGACATCCCTTCCACAGCTTTTTATCAATCCTATTTGTTATTTTTGTTTTAGTAAAATTACCTGGTAATTAATGGGATGTTTTGATATAATATGATCTGTGAGCTTGCTGGCTGTATGTCTGAGCATTCTGCCCTGTGTTCACATATCACTTGCATACAAATATGTGAGCCTAAAGCTCTGATATTTTAGTTTAAATAATCTGGCAACCCTCTCTAGCATTTAATGACCCTTGCTCTTAGGAAAAGAATTTCACATACATTCTAAATCTTTAACATGGCAATTTAGCTCATTTTGAGAGTATTGCTAGCTTTCTGTTATTGATGTTTACTGCCTCCGTCCTTTTTTAAATAGATGGGGTATAAATTCTAGTAGATAAATAACCAAAAAGCTAGGTTGGAAATACTGTATGGAAAACCAGATGGGCAAGGTAGGGGAATCCCTGCTGTTGATCACTGTGTTCACTGATGAGGATTTATGGAGTTTGGATGGAATTGATTCAATGTATAGGCATTGAGTGAGAACAGATGCAAGTTAAATTACAGCATGTGTGGATCATAGGAGTTGTCAGAGGAGGAAGTGGTGATAACATAACAATTTAGACATAAAGAAGCTAGAGGCTAAATAAGTAATGGTAATATAATTTAGTTTGGTTAGCCTTAGCAAGAAAAACTAACAGGAATAAAATACAAAGCAATAATGATAACAAAAATACTAATAGCCAATATTATTCAGCATTTAACTATGTGCCACAAATTATTCTAAGCACTTCATATAAAATACCTCAATTAACCTTGAAATAGGTACTATTGCTATCCCTGTTTTACAAATAAAGTATTCAGCAGGAAAACCATCAGATCCTAGGCTCTTCTATCTTACAGATAAAGAAACTGAGGCAGAGAGAGTTTAATAAATTTCACAAAGGTTAAGCAGCTTATAAGTACCTGAGGTAATTGTGTTGATATGCAAATAATATGTGATTTGAAATTCTACCTCAAGGTAGGTAACTGAGCTGCATACTTTATGCCAAATCTCAGGTTCCCCAGCGTGGATGCCTACCATTGCCTTAGAGGGTCTTCTCTTATTGAAATCTGCAATTACCACCATGATAACTAACTCCTGGCTCCCCAGTGAGGCCTCTTCTGATATCTTCAGCCTACCACCCCAAAAGGGAATTCAGCCCATTGAAGAATAGAATGGGAATAATGGGAATTGTTAAGTCATACAAACAAATCCAAAATGATGTACTATGATGGAAAATTTCTACCAAATTGATAAAACATACACAACCAGTCTTTACAATTCAGAACCAAACAACTCCGTGTCCTTCATAAATTAGAGTGATTAAATCTAATCAAAGGTAATGACTACATGATCCCAGGCATAGCTCATCTACAGTTTTTGAATGTGTGAAGTCTTGCTGAGGAAGGGTCTAGAGCCCTTTAGGGATTACTGTCCATGTCCTAGATGCTGCTTGAAAATTAAAGCAGACCTGTTCAAAGTCAGTACATCCATGGAGAACATTCAGATCTTGTCTAACACAGGTACTAAGCAGCTACAATTTGAAGAGCCTTTTTGCTTTTCTGTTCACTTCCTCCATCTAGTTTGAAAAGAACTCAAGAATTTTGGTTACATGAAGTACCCTCTTTACTTCTACAAAATCTCCCTTACAGCCAAAAAGAAATCCCCCATGGAAACAGTTGTAATGGGGTTTGAGCTATGATAAGATATGCACATTTATGTGGAGAAGTAAAGATTGATTGACTCTTTTACTCTATGAAGAGAACAGGGTTATTTATCGATTGGATGTTTTATAGCATCTTTCCTCTGAAAGGTTCAACTTACGCACAGTTGGGGAAAAGTTTGTCCAAGGGATATAATTTATGAGAGGGGAGGGAAGCAGGTGAGGGAAATAGTGAAAAATCATTAGGAAATATGTAACTCCCTGAAAGACCAGGTATGGGAAAATGCACATGTCAGAGAATATGTTATCAATGAGCTTGGAGAAAAATCTGAACCCTAGTTTATCGTGAAATGAATAAAGGTCAAGATGCATGCACACATATGCACACACACACAAATGGGATTTTAGAAATCATTAACTGAAAATATTTGTAATTAAAGTAATAAACACACATGGAATCTGTGACCACCAAGCAATGCTGCCAATGACCAGGGCCCAGATTTCCAGAGCTCAGTAACTTCAGATTCCTATTTTCCCTTTCTCCCAGCACAGGGAGATCTATAGATGAGAGGGCCCCCAGCGGGTTTGATGCATCCCTATGTGCTTCTCCCAGACATAGTGTTCCACCCCAAAGTTTTCTCCCATTCTGATCCTTCAGCTTTGAGAATAAAAGTTTAGGCAGTCTTTCCAGTCTATGTCTAATGTCCTCTCTGCCACAGGGAGGAACGGGCAGAACATCAGTTATCTGTTTGAATGGGGAAGCGGGGGATAGGAAAAATATAGAGAGCAAGAAATAAAAATTAATAGGTCAAAATATTATTCATTCACACATGTGCACCAGCACAATGTAAGGGACAGTGAAAGAGAAAATTGATGGATATATGTAACAAGCAAAGAGCTAAAGAGCTGATGAAGAAACAACTAGCTTTAGTTGAGGGATTTTTTTTTTTTTTCAACAGTGCGCTAGAAGACAAATACCTTAAAATAGCCAAAAACTCTCAAGGGTTTATTAATCCTTATATGCAAACAGAGAATAAATCATCTGTGGCAAACATGCCACTAAATGGCTAGCAATATATTTAAAGCACTGTAATGTCTTTCCTCAATTAATTACTTGACTACAACAATGCAAAATGATTCACTATTTTTTTGGCTTCGCTATCAATGTTAGGGAGAATACAGACTTAATTTGTCCCTTTAGTAATTATAGCCTCCATCTTTCTCAGACAAAATAGGCAAAATAACACCCAATTACCAAGGTTACCAATAGGCTTAAATGAGAAAACACACGTGAATTTACTTTGTAAACTTTAACCACTGCAAAATATGGTAGTTACTGCTATGTGATCCTTTACATCTCCTTAACATGCACCTATTAGCTACCAGCTCAAATTTTCACCCCCACCCTCTGCCACTGTAGACTTTTCTTACCCACCTGAAATTCATGTCTGTCCTGCCTACTATCATCAAGTGATTGGTTTTTCCTTGATGCACCTATCATTGCCATCGGTTCCCTATGCCCATATGATAGCTTCATCTCTTTGCTGCTGATTGGCTGCTGTTACAGGTGATGGAGGCTGATGCAGATGGATTCCAGCAGTTCTCATGAGTATTTTATGTGCTTCTGCTGATTTACAGCCAGTTCAGCATTCCTTTAAATGGCCATAAATTGGATTGATGTCATAAATCATATCCAGAGAAAGTGCCTGAGTACCAGCTCAGGCAGCTATGCTAATGTCTGTGAAAATAACAAAGAAACATCCTCATTCAGGCCTGACTCTACTGCATTAAAAGGCCAGATTGTAAGGAGCTGTCAGTTACTGAGAGGAGAAAAGGTAAAAGGGGGAGAAAGGTCTTTGTAGGGATTATTAATAACACAGCCAGGAAGAAAGTATAGGTGTGTGTCAGTGAGAATAAACAGGGGGGAGAAGAGGGGCCATGGGAAGAGTGATAAAAGAGAGTGCTGTGTATGGAAAAGATAAATGCAAATGAAATATACTGTATGGCAATGGATTATATCAGTGGTTGATATATGGGATCGAGTATCAAATTGTTGAGCTGGCACCCATTAATGTGATATAGTGGACTTGATATGCTGGGCGACGGCAGCCCTGGTGCAGGGAAAATAAAGAACACACTGCAGTCTTTCAAAACAATGGTTCAAAGAAAAGACAGAAAATTATAGCATTACAAGTTTATGAAACTAAAATTGTGTGAGATAATTATGGCTTCTGATAGGGTTCATTATTCTTTATCTATTGGCTCTCCAATCTCATAATGAAGAAAAGGGATCTTAAGGGGAGACTATCTGTTTGTTCTACAGGGAGGATCAGGGTGGGAGAACTTTTCATTCCATCAAGGATAGCAAAAGTGACCCAGAAGTTTTCTCTGGTGAATGAGCTCCCCCTGGACATCTTAGCCGGGGAGGCTGGAATCCCCAGACTACCTCAATAGAACTGTTTTGAACCAGCAGTCATTTTTAGGATTTCTAGGAATTTAATTTACTCCCAGAAATTGCTAGTCTGGTTCATTTACTAATTCCTTCATCAGACCTTTATTGATAGCCTACTATGTGCCAAGCACAGTACTGGGGCTTCAGAAATTAATGCAAGGAAGTCTTTGAAACAGTTACCTATTTCTGGGTATCTATCCCTTGGCCTCTGCATTTGGCTAGTTTGTCACACAACATACTGTGGCTGGCCCATTTAAAGAAAGTCCCGGGACACAATACATAGACAGAGGCCTCCAAACCACTCCCAGTGATTTCAAGTCCACTGCTGGCTGTCCTTCTGCTGGCTCCTGAGTCCTGACTCTGTACTCTAGCATGCAGCACCTGCTATGGGAACTGAGATTTTCATAATTGTTTGGACTTCACTTTTTGGCTTATTGAAGCTTAATTTCCCACTCTGATTTGGCTTTCCCCATGCATCTCCTATGGCTGAAGGCTAGTGGAGAAAAGTCTTCATTGAACACTCCCACATCCTCATTCTCCTCATCACCACCACCATGCACAAACTCAAAACCAGCATCCCATCAGCCACCCAGCCTCCCCCACCAGGAACTGAGTATTCAGACAATTTGTTCAATGCTTCCTTTTAATGGACCCTGAAACTATACTACCTCTTTTTTCTTTCGTGCACATGTCTTCATCCTTGGTTTCCCCCTCATTTTGTGCATTCCACATGAGCAATCTTATCCACCCCTCTAAGGATCAAATTGCTTCCCCAATGGCCTATCTCCCCAAGTTCTCCATTTCCTCTTTCTTGCTCTTGAACTCTAGTCCCAAGCATCAGGCTGAACCACCTAATGAACAGGCTCACCTCCATGTCCCAAAGGCATGTCAAGCTGAGCAGAGAAAAGCCAAGCCTACTCTTCCTAATGTGTCTTCAGCCTCTGTTTAGAGTATGTCCGTCTTTCTAGTCACTCCAATTAAAGCATCGGAGTCATCCCCCATTCCTCCTTTTCTATAACCGGTCTCACAAAGTCATTTAAAGAAGTTCTTCTAGTCCTACCTAAGGCATGTGTTTGAAATCTGCTCCTGACTCTATCTTCTGATAGCCACTGCCTGAGATCAAGCTCTTTCCACCATGGTACTTATCTCCCCACTTCTAATTTTTTTCCCATTCCAATCCATCCCGCTTACTGCTAACTGCATATCATTCAAAAACATATATCTCATGGTATCACTCTTTTGTAAAAATTCCATATTAATTGCATTATTTAAAAGTGTAATAAATGCACATATAGTTGTTTACTTGCTTGAAAGTAAAGAAAGATCATATTACATAGCAGGCATTCTCTATGGCACAAACATACTTTCTAATCTCATCTCAAAACACACATCCTCACTACAATTTACATTGCTCTCAACAGTTTGAAATACTTGCCAATCCCTTAAAATACTTTAGGGTACTAACCAGGTCAATGAAGGCAGCCCACAAAAGACACAGACTTTCCAGAGTGATTCCACAACAAATCTATTTTCCATTTCTGCAACCCCAGGCAGAGCCTCCACAAGATTCAGAAATTGACCTAGTCTCTCCAGAAGGAGACATATGACATGCTTTTGCCATGACCCTTGGGATTCTTTGGCCTGGAGCAACTTTCGAGTTATCAATAGGGATAGATACTCTGTGCATCCCAGTTCAGACACTAATCAGATTGGAAAGTTACCCATTTCAATAGTTCCCAAAAACAAGATTGTATAAGAATCACTGCAGAAATTCGAAAAATACAGATTCCTATATCATATAGAAAGTACAATTTAGAGCTCTGGAATGGGACCCAAGAATATGTATATATGTATTTCAAATAACCTCTCCCAGATAGCTCTGAGGCTCAGGCAAGTGTACAAATCAGTGGTTTGAATTAGCTGAATAACAAAACCAGCTTAATTAACTGGCATTCACATTGAAGCAGAGGAATTCAAAACAATAACAAAAGTTGGCTGGGGGTGGGAGTGGTGGTGATGAGGGGATGAGGAAGAAAACTAAAGCCTCCAACATTCTTTTCAAATCCCAGAGATGATAGCATTTTATTTTGAGGCTGATAAATAAAAGATAGCCTCTCCCATCTGGCTTTACGATATGGAAACATTGTTAATGAGACATTTGTAAAAGTGCCCCAGAATCGTTAAAAGAGCGTGACTATGGTTCTTAAATTTTAAAATTCGAGCACCAGGTTGCTGTGTGTTCTGTCTTACACAAATGCTAGAGTCACTAATGTAGGCACCTGGCATTTCCAGAGGATCGTATTTGCATTTCTCACAAATTAATGTTGTTTAAAACCATTGCAAATCTCACTTTATAGCTCACAGTTTTCCTGTTTTTAAATAATATCAGTTCTAACCATCTATCCAACCCTTGTGCTTATTCTAGCGTGGCAGTTGATTAACCTGGCAGCAGAGCCACCATCATGGTGGCTCAATGGCAGCCGAAGCACTGCTGAGTGTCCAGGCTGTCAGGAGTGGTTGCAGAAGCAGCTCTGCTGAGGAGCCCCCTATCACCACCATGGACTCATATGTCACATTCTTTTACCTGGTTAACTTGGTAAGCACCCAATCTTGAGTGGCATTACTTTGGATGCCACTGAGAACTCCCCAGATACAGTCATTTTTCAGCATGCATAAGTAGACTTTTCTGTAATTGAGTTAACATTTGTTAATCTGCATTTTAAATGGCTTTCCTTCTTTCATCAAGACCTTTCTGGACTTATGTTTCTTTATTGGCAAAAAAATAATAGTAACCCCTTTACTTCTGCCTCTTGTTAGTGAAGGCCAGAGACACAAATAACGTGTATCTGTGAGTGAATGAGCTAGTGAGTTACTGAATCCTGCTGAGAGGTGGCTGATGTCGCCTTGGGGTGAGGAGAATAGTGAGCTCTGTAAGACATATGACAGCAATTCGAGCAACTGGAGGAAGAGTAAAGCAAGAAGAAGCCTGTGGGTGCATGGCACATGGCCACACAGAAGCTGGTAAAAGGACAAAACCTTCAACATCAATGGCAGAAAGAATGACAGCAGGAGCAGAGATTATGAAGCCCGGAATTTTTCTTTCTTCTAAGTTCAGAATCACCATCAGTGTCAGTAAGTGGGGACTGAAAAAAAAAAAAAAAAAAAAAAAAAAGCATAGCCAAAAAGGCTGAAGAGTGGTGATGGGGAAAGGATATAGAGGAAAAAAACTGGAAAGGTGCAGTAGGAAAGAAAAAATAAAGGCATGACTGCTTTTGTTGTTATTGTTGTGTTGGCCATTTGGGCAAAAGGAAGATAAGAGAAAAACTCTTCTGCTTCTGGGAATTAGAAATACCCCTTTAAAAACGTTTTTAAACCTAAATATCTTAGCCTTACCAGTCTGAGGCTATAAAATTAATATTCAATTATGATGTTTGAACTCCCAGTCTGTTTAACTTTGTAAAGTCTTACCTTTTACCAAGTTTCCCTTCCAAAACATTGCGAGGAATATGAAAATGAATGGTAAATCTGACTTCTTCTGCCTGCCACCCCACACTCTACCCAGGCCTCTGATTACCCAGCCATGCTCCTCCTCCTCCTCAGACGGCTTTCCTCAGGTGGCTGCAGCTTGGCTCAAACCCCTTCACTCTCAATATCCTCCCTCCTAGCATCTTCCCCACATTCTCATGGTGGAAGCCGGGAAATCTGCAACTTTAAAGAGAGTTTTACAGATGGTTTGGAGATAGTGAGACACAACCTGAAGAATAACTCATATCGACCATTAGATGTGTTCATGCTCTGAGTGCACGGACCCAAGTCTTCCTTTAATGTGCTTTAATAGTTCAGACAGCCCTAACTTACACCTTATCTGTCTCCTTAAAGCAGAAGCAAGCATTCCTCCCTCACCCTGACCTAAACAGCTCCAGGCATCTCTGTGTCTCAGTACCAAACTGTCAAAAGAACCCAGGAAAAGGGAAACAGTTTGCCAGTAATGTCAACTTCAGGTGACACTCAACCTCCTCAGCTACTCAACACTCAATACTCAACCACCTCCTGTGTGGTCACTTATTGCCCCAGAATTGATCTCTCAATGGGAAGATTCTCTTCTTGTGCAGCTATCCCAGCCATTGTGGTATTGTCTTAAATATTTTTGCTCAAATATTATGAATATACTATATTTCACACACCTTTAATAACTCCAAGGGTAGGTAATGACTGCAACGTAGACCAGACCATACATATGCACATTTACATCCCCACAAGAACAAGCACATCAATGTGGGATCATGTCTTTCTCAGTCTTTGACCATTTCCTAGAGCCTCTTTCTCTCTTTCTCCTCTGCTGGTTGGGCTTGGGGTATACCCATGATGTTACCTACTTTTCCAGAATTATTTTAAGTGCATTCCCTTTTATTTTCAATATTTTCCAATTTTGATAATAAACTACATTGTCATTTCAGATCGATGGGGATTAACTGTGATGATGAAATGAGGCATATTAACAAAGGCCCTTGCCATCACTTCCTATACTATTGTATAAGCCTTTTACCTAAAATGTCTGTTTCCACTATTAGCTACCATTCATTTATTTAACAAATATTGTTAAGCACTTACTATACAGTTGGATTTTTCTCAACACTGTGTATATAATAATAAAACAATCAAGATTAGTACTTTCAAGCCCAGCATGGTGGCTTGCTCATATAATCCCAACATTTTGGGAGGCTGAGGTGGGAGGATCACTGGAGCTCAGGAGTTCGAGGCTGCAGTGAGCTGTGATTATACCACTGCACTTCAGTCTGGATGACAGAGAGACATCCCACCTCTACATTTTTTTTTAAGAAAAGGTTACTACTTTCACAAAGCCTACATTCTAGGGGACCAGAATAAAATATTTTACAACAAAAATGTGATCATAACACTTCCCTTTCCAAAACCTTTTAGGCCCAAACTGGTAGCTCACTCCTGTAATTCCAGCACTTTGGGAGGCCAAGCAGGAAGAGCCCTTGAGGCAAGAAGTTTGAGACCAACCTGGGCCACTTAGTGATAACCCGTCTCTATAAAAAAATACCAAAATAACAATAATAATAACTGGGCATGAGCTGCTACCAGCTATTTTTTGCTTCCAGGAGACTGTAGTGGGAGGATTGCTTGAGCTTGGAAGGTTGAGGCTGCAGTGAGCCTAGGTCATGCCACTGCACTCTAGTTTGGGTGACAGAGGGAGATCCTGTCTGTAAAAGAAAAAAAAAATTCCTTGCAAACTAAAATCCAAACTCCTTAGCCAGAAACTCCAACCTTCCCTAACCCCTAACCCCTAGGCTTTTTCCCTGACTTAGCTTCTTAATGTAATCACATTTCACTAACAATGTCCCACATTCCCCATATCTTTTCACATCTTAGTCATTTGTGCTCTTTAGCCTTCTCAGAATAGCCCTGCTCACTTTTTCCCTTCTGGAAACCCCTGCTTATGTGTCAAGTTTCAACTTAATGCCATTTAATTTCTATAGCTTTTCCTCACCCTTGAAGGCAGAATTAATCACCTGCTTATCTGTGAGCCCAAAATACTTTATAAACATGTTGGTCTTAGCACATTTTATATCATAGTTTAGTAAATACGATTATGGGTCTTTTTCTTCCCTTAGACTGTGAGTTCCTCAAAGGTAAGGACCATATCTTATTTATCTCTTAGTTATCTATGCCAAGAATATCCAAGTTGCTCAATAAATATTTGTTAAATTTACTTAGAAACTGGAGGACAGTAATATGTGTAAAACACAAGATTTTTATAAGAATCTTTCATAAGAGGTTGTCAAGAATAGCAGAGAATGTGATCAACAATGTGCAGTGGTTTTCATAGAGGGCTGGAAAAATCTAAAAGTTTGGTAAATATAAAGTAAATAACAAAATATCAAAGAACAATGGTGAAAAAGTATTTATTATGTTGGTATCAAACATGAATGCATGAATGTTTAAGTTATGAAAGAAATACATTCTATTCCCTTAAGACCATACCTTGTGGTGGAGTCATGTAATATCTGCAAATATGCTAGGACATTGTATGCCAATTTGACTGTGTTTCTCCCCTCTATAGATGGGTGAGGAAAAGAAAATGTCAAGGGTTAAGATTAAGAAAATGTGGCACATAGACACCATGGAGTACTATGCAGCCATAAAAAATGATGAGTTCATGTCCTTTGTAGGGACATGGATGAAGCTGGAAACCATCATTCTCAGCAAACTATCTCAAGGACAAAAAACCAAACACTGCATGTTCTCACTCATAGGTGGGAATTCAACAATGAGAACACTTGGACACAGGAAGGGGAACATCACACACCCAGGCCTGTTGTAGGGCAGGGGGAGGGATAGCATTAGGAGATATACCTAATGTAAATGACGAGTTAATGGGTGCAGCACACCAACATGGCATATGTATACATATGTAACAAACCTGCATGGTGTGCACATGTACCCTAGAACTTAAAGTATAATAAAAATATATATTATATATATATAAAAAGAAAGAAGGAAAGAAAAATGGAGTCAAGGACGGAGGAAGAGAGAGAGGGAAGGAGAAAGAAAAATGTAGCAATTGAAAGAAAATAATAAAAAAAAAGTCAAGGGGACAATGCAAGGTTATTCATACAGTCCTCTCCAAGTAAAGTAAAACTTTTTATTCAGTAAAACTGAATACAAGTAAAAACACAGCATGGAGGTGTATTTCCCAATTTTCCAACCCAGATGATGAATTGAGCACATAATTTTACCTCCCTTCCAAGAAAACTCCCATCAAATCGGAATGAAGAAATGCATACAAAAAAATAAGAAAATCCAAACATTGCTGGAAAATAGAAATGAGTATAATTGTTGAATTTGAAAGTTCAGAGACTTTCTGAAAGATAAGAGACAACATGATGTTAATTTCAATGCTAGAACAAACAGACTCAGGAGAGAATAGCAGCCGAGGTATCTATCACTCTTCCTAGGACCTCCAAGGAACTCCAAAGAAGGATCATTTGCAGGTCTTTGCCTCATTAATCTTGGCTTGGCTACAGAATTAGACCCTTAGCTCTAAACGAAATATGTATTTCAATAGCGGAAGTAGAGGGTAGAATCCAGCAAGGAGAGCAAAGCAAAACCCCACATAAGTTGGAACTCGTACTTAAGTATATTAAAAAAATGGAGAGTAATAAAGACACAAAGAAAGAAATGAACAAACAATAGTGCTTTGTATGTCTTCAAATTTTATATGAATGAATTCATATTGTATCCACCCACAAGTGACCTTTTTCACTAATTTTGTTTTTGTTTCAAATGCCCATTTTGATACACTGTATTCCAGAATAATCGTCTCAAATCTTGGTCAAGATTTTTGCCTCTGGTCCATCTTAATTTTTTTTAGTAAGCTGACATGCATATTAAATGTTTATAACCATGCCTAGCACATAGTTAATACTCAATAAAACTTATCTATCATTACTATTTTCATCATTTATTATAACTTATTTGTATGAATATACCACCATTTATTCATTTCCCTTTTGATAAACCTTTAAATTTTATTCAATATTTTACTTGTTAGAAAAAATTATAATGAACATACTTGTATTTTTTTGTATGTATGTGTAAGAATATCTTATACCTGGTAGTGAATTATTTTACTGAAGACTGTGACACATTGCTACAGTACTGACTCTAAACGAATCACACCTCTCTGTGTCCATGCATATTGTTTCTGCCCGTATTGGCTTGGCTTGTCCATGTGACTTTTTTGGGCAGTAGATCATTGCTGACAGATAATTCTCTATTGGCTTCTCATATTTCTGCACATCTTACAAGCAACTTACTGATTGGCCTTTTGTTTCAGCCTGTCTCTTCAAGGGTTTGTAGAGCAAACAGCTTTAGAAGATAAAGATAGTGTCTCCTTGCAGTGCAAAGGACAGATGTTGTTAACATCCAGTATCACAGAGGTGATGTCTTCCTTTGGGGCAAAGGGCAGCCTTCCTTATATTGCAGCTTGTTATAAAAGATTCAGGTTCCCACAAGCTCAGAGTTTCTCAGCTGTCAATGAAACCCACTGCATGTGGTATACAGGAATGCTATTGATTTTTGCCTATTGACTAATTTCCAGCAACATTATTGAATTCTTTGCTTAATTATAACAGATTGAAAAAGATCTTCTAGAATTGTCTATGTGCTTAGTCATATTATCTTTAGAAAATAAGAATTCAATTATTCCTTTCAAAACCTTATCATGTATATGTGTTACTTCTTGCCTCTTAACAAAGACTAGGACCTGTAATGTTGTGTTGAATAAGAGGAGTAACATCAAGTAACTTTAAGATCTTTCTCACTTTACAAAAATGTTTCTGTATTTCATGTGGCACATACTCCCAGGTAGGTTTTTGACAGAGAACTTTATGAAGGTAAGGAAGGTGTCTTCTATTCTTAGTTGGCCTTAAATGTTGTAACACAAATGGGTGTTAAATTAAGTTGGATGATTTTCCATGAATCTATTGATAAAATAATATTTTTTGGTTTTAATCAGTGCTGTTTATGTGAAACTGTCCTTGCATTTCTGAGAAAAACACTATTTGGCAGCTTCTTCATTCGGTTTTGCTTAGTTCCCAGAATGCATTGTAAAATATTCTCTATTTAAATTTTCTTTGTAAAAGTGAACATAGGACAGGTGATAATTTCACTAAAAGTTTGGCAAACACTAGCCTGTGGAACTGTGTTAGTCTGAGGTCATTTTGTTAATACATTTTGACAAATGAATAATGATTATAAGTTTATTCTAGTTTGTAATTACTTTATAAATTAGTAACTTTGGCACTTCTGAAAATTATGTATATTTTCTACTTTTTAAAAATTATTACTAAAGAGTACGTATTGTTTTCTTATTATTTTAAACTCCATTTACATTTTGCCATACACTTTTTAAAATTCCTAATATTATTAGTACTTTCTTCTTTCCCCTCTAGCTGTTGTCAAATGACTATTTCACTTGTCTTTTAAAATAACCATGCTTTGATTTTGGTTGCTACATTTAACAAAATTGGTGATATTTCAACAATCTTGACTCTTACTTCTATTTTTTTCTTTTGTAATGTTGTTTTGAATTTACTTTGCTATTATAGTTATAGACACTGAGATGTGCTTGACACAAAATAAAGTGAACATAGAAAAGTTTACAATTGGATGCATTTTCACATACGTATGTACCTGTGAACAATCATCATAATCAAAATATTGAACATTTCTGTCGCCCTAAGAGGTTCCTCGCACCCTTTTGTAATGCACCTGTCATTTTCCTCAATATTGCATGATCTCCCAGAAAACCACTGGTATGCATCCCATCAATATGGATTATTTTTCATCTCTAAAATTTTATATAAGTAAAAACAGAGTTTTCACTTTTTGGCCTGGCTTCTTTCACTGAGCATATTTCTTTTGAAATTCATCTATGCTAAGACATGTGTCTATAGCTTGTTCTTACTGCTGAGTATTATTTTGATTTAACAGATTACACAACACTTTGTTAATCCATTCAATATTGAAAGACTTTGAGTTGCCTCCAGTTTCTGCCTATTACAAATAAAGCTGCCACAAAGATTAGTGTGTATAGGTGTTTCTTTTGGCTAAGTATCTAGGAATGCAATGACTATTTCACATGATATAGCCAGGTTTAAATTTTTACAAAAATGCCAAACTGTTTTGCAAAGTAGTTGTACTATTTTATATCTCCGCAAGCAGTGTATTAGAATTCCAGTTGCTACAATTTCATGTCAGCACTTGGTAGGAAGAGCCTTTTAAATTTTATCTGTTTTAGAAGGTGGCGTAGTTATCTCATAGTGGTTTTAATTCGCACTGATCTAATTACCAGTTAAGCCTCTTCTCATGTACCTATTTTAAATCCTCTTTTTTAGTGGAGTGTCTATTCAAATATTTTTCTATTTTGTTGTCATATTGGATTGTAATTGTTCTTTAAATATTATAGACACAAATCTTTCCTCAGATAAAAGTTTTATAGGTACATTTTCACAGTATATAGCTGTTCTTTATAATTTCTTAACTAACTTTTGAAAAGCAGTTTTTCTGGTGAAATACAATGTATTATGTTTTTATAGCTTATTCTTTTTTATCTCATACTTAAAAATCTTTGCTTAACTCACAGTCATTAAGGTTTTCTCCTATACTTTCCTTTAGAAATTACAGAATTTTAGATCTTATATTTAGATCTATGATCCATGTTAAGTATTACATGTAATATGAGGTAAGAGTGAAAAACTTTTTTTTTTTTTGCATTTGGATATCAAACACCCTGTCTTGAAAGATTGTCCTTTACTCATTAAATTGACATAGCACTGTTCTTAAAATCAAATGACATTATGTGTGAGAATTTATTTTGAAGGGTTTTTTTTCTCTGACTACCTAATTATGTCTTTATGCCCATGCTGTGATGTGGAGATAGGTGTAGCATTATATTAAGTTTTGAATAAAATACTGTAACTCTTCCAAATTTGTTCATAATTTTTAAAATTGTTTTTAATATTATAGATCTTTGACTTTTTCATAGAACTTTTATAATTTGTCAATTTCTACAAAATAAAACAATTTCTAGGACTTTTAATCAGTTTTGCATTGAATATACAGATAGACTTTGAGAGAATTGACATCTTGACAATATTAAGTATTCCAAACCATGATCAGTTCTCTCAATTTATGTCATTTTATTTTTCTCAGCAATACAGGCACTTCTTGACTTGCAATGGGGTCATATTGTTAATATATTTTGACAAATGAAAAATTATTATGTTTATTCTAGATTTTAATTGCTTTACAAATTATCTGTATTTTCTATGTTTTAAAAATTATTACTAAAGAGTACTTTTTTATTATTTTAACCTCTATATACAATGAGGTTCAGGCCCTAATAAATTCATCATAAATTGAGGAGAGTAGTAAATGCGTATTGCTTTTGTACCACTGTAAGTTTAGAAAATCCTAAGTCAAACCATTGTAAGTCAGAAACCATCTATATTTTATAGTTCTCAAATTGCGAGTTTTGTACATATTTTGTTAAAATAATTCCTATTTCACATTTAAATAATATTTAAAAGGAATTATTTTTCAATTTTGACCTCTACTGTTTATTGCTAGTATATATACAATCATTGCTTGTTATTACGATCTTCATCCTGCAACATTAATTCTAGAAGCTTTTTTAATCTACTTCTTAGAATTTTCTACACAAATAATTATGTTGTCTGCAACTAAAGAGAATTTCACCTCTTCCTCTAAAATCTAGATTTATCTTATTTTGTTTTCTTTTTATTTTTCCTGTCTTTTTGAACTAGCTTCAAACTCCAGTTCTATGTTTAATAGAAGTGGAAATAGACATTCTCACTTTTCTCTGATTTTAGAAAGAATACGTTCAGCTTTCACCAACAAGTATGATGCTAGCTGCAAGGTTTACACACATGCTTTTTAAAAGGTTGAGGAAGTTCACTTCTGTCTTATATTTGCAGTGAATTTTTAGTCAAAGAATTGATGGTTTTTTTAAAATGATTTATCTATACATATTACAATGATCATATGGTTTTTCCTTTTATATCATTTAATGTAGTGGATATTGGTTGATTTCAGAATGCCAAATTAACCTTATATTCCAAGTATAAGCCAAGGTGTATTACTTTCATATATTTTGTTAATGAAATTTGCTAAAAATTTTGTTAAGAATATTTTTGTGGCCAGGTGCAGTGACTCATTAATTTTATTGTTGTTGCATTTGCTTTGGGGGTCTTAGTCATAAATTTTTTACCCCGGCCAATGTCCAGAAAAATTTTTCCTACGTTTGCTTCTGGAAATTTTATGGCTTCAGATCTTACATTTAAGTCTTTAATCCACCTTGAGTTAATTTTTCTATATGGAGAGAGATAGGAATCCAGTTTCATTCTTCTGCATGTGGCTATCCAATTTTCCCAGCACTATTTATTAAATAGGGTGTCCTTTTCTTAGTACACGTTTTTGTCAACTATGTGAAAGATCAGATGGTTGTAGGTTTGTGGCTTTATTTCTACATGCTCTGTTCTATTCTATCAGTCTATGCATGTACCTTTATACAAGTATTATGCTGTTTTGGTTACTATAGCCTTGTAATGTGATTTGAGGTTGGGTAATGTGATGCCTCCAGATTTGTTCTTTTCGCTTGGGATTGCATTGATTATTCAGGCCCTTTTTGGGGTTCCATATTTGTTTTACGATTTTTTTTTCTAATTATGTGAAAAATGACATTGATATTTTGGTAGGAATTGCATTGAATCTGTAGATTACTTTGGGCAGCATGGCCATTTTCACAATATTGATTTTTCCAATCCATGAGCATTTGACTTTTTTTATTTATTTGTGTCATCTATGATTTCTTTTAACAGTGTTTTATAGTTTTCCTTATACTTCCTTATACAGGTGTTTCACTTTCTTAGTTGAGTTTATTCCTGGGTATTTTTTTTTAACTATTGTAAATAGAATCAAGTTTTTGATTTAATTGTCAGGTTGGTCCTTATTGCTATATAACATTGTGATTGATTTGTCTACACTGATTGCATAATATAAACTTTACTGAATTCATTTACCAAATCTAGGAGTCTTTTCAAGGATTCCTTAGGGTTTTTGGCATTACATCATCAGCAGATGAGATAGTTTGATTTTCTCTTTTCCAGTTCGGATGTCCTTTATTACTCTTGCTTGATTGCTCCGGCTAGGACTTCTAATAGTCTGTTAAATAGAAGTGGTGAAAGTAAGCATCCTCGTCTTGTTACAGTTCTGAACAGGAATGTTTTCAACTTTTCTCCATTCAGTGTAATGCTGGCTGTGGGTTTGTCATATACGGCTTTCATTAATTTTTAGATATGGTCTTCCTATGCGTAGTTGGTTGAGGATTTTTATCATGATAGAATGCTGAATTTTACGAAATTCTTTTTCTGTGTCTATTGAGATGATCATATGCTTTTTTTTAAAATTCTGTTTATGTGGTGAATCATATTTATTGACTTGCATGTGCTGAACCATCCTTGCATCCCTTGGATGAAACCCATTGGTTCATGGTGAATTATCTTTTTGATGTGCCTGTTGGATTCAGTTTGCCAGTATTTTCTTGAAGACTCTTGCATTTATATTTGCCACGGATATTGGCCTGTAGTTTTTTTGTTTGTTTGTTTCGTTTCCTTTCCTAGCTTTGGTATCGAGGTGATACTGGATTCACAGAATGAGTTAGCGAGGATTTTCTCCTTCTTGATCTTTTGGAAGAGTTTCAGTAGAATTAGTACCAGTTCTTCTTTGAACATCTGGTAGAATTTGGCTGTGAATCCATTTGGTCTGGCTTTTTTTTTTTCCGTATATAATAGGTCTTTTCCTTACCTTTGTCTTCTTCTTTGAAGATTTTCTGTATCACTGGTTTAATACAACTTTATTGTGACATGTGTTAGTGTAGATTTCTGCTGATTGTGGTTTACTGGGTTTCTTGGTTTTGTGGTTTTAGAATCCTATCATATTAGGAAAATTTTGGTCATGTCTTAAAATAGCTTTATCTTTTTCCTCTCCTATGTTTTTGAAACTCCAGTGGCATATATATTAGGATGTTTGATATTTTCTCACAATTCATTACCATACTGTTCCTTTCTGCCATGTCTTCAAGATCACTAATATTTTCTTCCAGAGTGTTTAATCCACCATTAAATCTGCCCAGTGTATTTTTTCACTTTATACAGGCTAATTTTTTCTAGCAGCTTAATTTGATTCCTTTGATATCATCCATATCTCTCTTTAACAAGCTCAAGTTTTCCTCTTCACTGTGAGCATATGGTATATATTTATAATCTGTTTTATGTATATATTTATAATCTGTATTTAATTTATAATTTATAATCTGTTCTTTTCTGCTAATTCTCCAATGTCTGTTATTTCTTGTTCTATTTCTGATGATTGATTTTTCTCCTCATTATGGTTTGTATTTCTATGCTTCTTTTCATGCCAATTTTTTTTATTTGATGCCAGCCTTTCTCAATTTTATATTTTGAATACTAAATTTCTTTAAATAATTGTGGGCTTTGTTCTGTTATGCAGGTAGGGTACTTTGTAACATTTTGTTTAAGTCTTTTTTTTTTTAAGATATTTTAGGTGAGTCCAGACAGCCTTTATACTAGTCATTGCCTAATAAGAACTCTGACTAATAAGAACATCAGCTCATCCTGGTGCTGTGTAAGGATTGTTCTACAGGCTTCTTTCTAATTGGAATTTGCCCAACCATGTTAGTTTCCACAACTACACGCACTCATCAGTACTCATCTGAAGACTCTGGGGGAATCCTATGCAGATCCCTAGAGCTCTGTCTTCCTGTGCAGTTTTCTTTTGTCTAGTATTCTTTTCTGTGAATTTTCCTCATCTTGGCCTCCAAATACCTGAATTCTATCCTGTTAACCACTTGGGATGAATTTATTTTCCTCTCCCTGCTCTGCATCCTGGAAAATCTCTTCAAACGTTGAGTTGGCGTAATCATACAGCTAACATTATTTGTTTCTCTTTCCTCATATCTCACTGTATTGTCTGCCTACATTCCAATGTTTGAAAATTACGGCTTTATATATTTTGTTCAGTTTTATAATTATTTTACATTAACAGGTTAAATACAGTTCCTATTTCCATGTTCTGAAGCAAAAGTCTCAAACTTTATTATTCTTTTTATAATTGTCTTCTGACAAATGGATTTAAGGCTATATATGTCATCTAAAATAAAGCTTCATCCTGCAAGTCTGTTGTTCATGTCTAAATATTTCGTTATTTTGATTAGAATTTCCTATTTGATTCCTAAGTTATTAAAAGTAGGCTTTTGGATTCTAACTTTATTGAATTTTATTGACCAACTTCAATTACTATTTCTAATTATAATGCTTTCTTTTTAGAGAATTTGGTAAGCATAATTTTGGTTTGTGTTATTCATTAAGTTTTCTTATGACCTAATATGTGGTCAGTTTTATATGTGCTTTAAAATAATACTTATTCATTATTTGTTGCATGTAGTTTCTTTATAAAAACCAATTGTACTAAGCTTATTAATTTTTGTTCCATTTTTCTATATCTTCACTAATTTTCTCTTTTCATCATTGCTCATATTCTGAATTAGCTGGTAAATGTTTACACTATGATAAGAAATCTATCACTCTCTCCTTGAAATTCTTTGCTTTTTTGCTTCATATATTTTAAGTCTATTTTTAGAGATATGAAATTCATGATCATTATGTACTCTATTCTATTTGTAATTAAGCATAATTAATTTATGTGCATATATGACTTCCTGACATTAACAAATTTATATATTTTTCAAAATACAGCATTTTACAAATAAAGTAGGGTTAAAAATAAATAACAATCAATCATATACCATTTGTATTTAATTTTATTGTGTGATAAGAAAGAATGAATTTGTAAATAGGATTACAATAAAAATGCACGTGAGAATGGAATGAAATTTTAACTATTAAAGTGCTTTCATAAGGATAAAAATACTCTACCAATACAGTCATGTGCTGTATAATGACATTTTTATCGAGACTGGTCGGCATATACAATGGTGATCTCATAAGATTATAATGCTGCATTTTTACTAGACATTTCCTATGTTTAGAGATGCTCAGTTATACAAATACTTACTGTTGTGTTACCATTTCCTGCAGTGTTCAGAACATTAACATATTGTACAGGTTTGTAAACTAGGAGCAACAGGCTATAATATGTAACTTAATGTGTAGTAAGTTTTGTCATCCATGTTTGTGCAAATACAGTGTATGATGTTCACACAAGGAGATAATCTCCTAACAATGTATTTCTCAGAACATATCCCCATCATTAAGTGACACATACCTGTACTAGATATCACTGGTTCTGACTTGTTATTCTTGATTAGTCCACAAAAGTACAAAGTCCACCCTTAGTTGGTAATTAAAAAATGGGAAAAAGGGAAGTAATTGATCTGCCAAAATAATTTTAAAAATCCATTTCAAAAACTAAAATATCGTAGAGGAACCACATAAATTCATGGATTAAGCCATTAAGGGTTAAATTAAAGCATACAGACTAACAAAAGACTCTCATTTTGTTAATGTGTATCTCTTTGACTTTCATAAAGAACAATTTAACTAGGTGGTTTTGTCATTATTAATGACTAATAATTCTAACTATTAATAACCTGTACATACATTTTGGCTATTTTATAAGTTTATTCATCTATTTTGTTACTAAGTGTTACAATATATTATATAACAATGTTATTAAACATTGCAAACATTTTATGATTTTAAGTTTCTTATGTTAATATTGGTAACTTTATAATATATATCAATTTTAATTTTTATACAAAATGTCAACCTGACTGTATGATTTTTCTTTCATACATAATATATCTTCCCTGAGCCCCATTTATTTTCTTCTAGACATTTTATGGTTCTCCCTCCTTTTCAGTTTTAACTATTTAACCATTTAGAATTAATCTTTCCCCCCAAATACAGCTTACTTTCAGTATTGACTTCATATAAATTGTGTCACATTCTATATATCAATGTGGTCAGATCTATTTTTCTACTTTCTTTGTGTACTATTTATCAGTCAGTTTTTATGCATACCAATTTTAATGACTCTGGCATTCTAATACCATCTCAATGTTAACCAATACAAACTACCTCTCACTATTCTTTTCAGAATTTACAGAATCTTATAAACATTAATTTTCAAGATGACCTTTAAAACTTTTTTAACTGTTCAAAAACATCCATTGATATTTTGACTGGAATTATATAATTGTATAAATTGTATTATATGGAGAGTTAATATTCTTAGTATTGAATCTTGGTATTTGCCTCACTATATTCATTATTTTTGATAAGTTTTTTTGCACTTATCTTACATCTCTCATTAGGTCTATTTGTATATATTTTATATTTATTATTGCTTATTATTAAAGTGGATATATAACTTGCTATTCAAACCATTGGAATTTAATAGTGAAAGGAAACACTATTAATAATTACAATAATTACTCTTAAATAACAGGCATAAATTGAATCTTATAGCTATTATTAACATGCTTGTTTTTCTATCTTATGTTCTAACAGGTTAATGCAACTGAATAAGAAGGAAATGCTGTATATGTACATATTTTTTTACATAAGCAAACCTCTCTATTTCTACTCTGTGATAATTTATAGTGAATGCTCTTAGTTTTTCAAATTATCAAACACGTTACTTACATATAATGATAATTTTGACATCACCTCTTAAAAATTACACCATTAATTTATTTTTCTTTACGTATTGCATCATATAGAACTTCCATAAAGTTATTAAATACTGGTAGTGGAAAAGGGTATTTTTTTTGTTGTTCCCTGAGTTTATTGGAACCATCATTAAGTGGCACATACCTGTACTAGATATCACTGGTTCTAAATTGCTATTCTTGTTTAGTCCACAAAAGTAAAAAGTCCACTTTTTGTACTTTGTTTTTTGCACCTAGTTAAATTGTTCTTTATGAAAATCAAAGAGATACACATTAACAAAATGAGAATCTCTAGTTAGCTTATACACTTTAAATTTAACCCTTAATGGCTTAATCCATGAATTTATGTAGTTCCTCTACGATTTTTTAGTTTTTGAAATGGATTTTTTGAACTAGCACAATATCGTTTTGACAATAATGGTAGTTGTTTAATATTAAGGAAGTATCCTTCCAATATTTCTGTAAATAATTCTTTAATCAAAATAATAGATATGAAGAATATGCAAAATTATACATATGTAGCTCAATGGAGTTTCACATTCATGTAATCAGCACCAGAGAAGGACAGGGAAAATATCCAACCCTCTAAAGGTATCATGGTACCCTCATAGAGTTACTATATTCACCTACAAAAGAAACAAATACTGTTGTCCTAAGGATCCATGAGGGATTGGTTCCAAAACATCCCCACAACCCCTACTCCCACAGTTACCAAAATCCACTGATGCTCAAGTCACTTATGTAAAATGATGTCATATTTTTATATAAGTGACACACATCTCCCCATATACTTTTAATCATCTCTGGATTACTTATAACCCTAATACAATGTAAGCACTATGTAAATAGGTATTATATTGCATTGTTTACAGAATAATGACAAGAAAGAGTATGTACATGTTCAGTACAGATGCAACTATCTTCCTTTTAATATAAATTGATTTTGATCATGGTTTTGTGAACATGTGAGAATAAGAACAAAGTACAAATATTTTTGTGTATACAAAATAAGTATGTTAATCCCAACAGAAAGAATTCTCCAGGGGGCCCGAGGGTACATTAAACAAACAGACAAAATCGTTGGACTAGTGGACCTTAGTCAGCCTCTGTTGTAAGCTATAATGAATGCTGGCACAGTGGACACATTAACATTATAGCCATGCAACTTATGGATGAAGGCCATAAATAGGCCCAAGAGCTGCACTCTCACTATTATCAAAGGTGATCTAGCTACTACCATGGCTTGGGGTTCGACCTGCCTGCAACATAAGTCAATATTGAATTTCTAATATGAACAATCTTTATAGAAAAACCAACCAGTTACTCAGTGGCAAGTTGACTTAATAGGAACCCTTCTATCTTGGAAGACAAGTGATTTTGTTTAGTAAGAATAGATTCTGTTGTGAGTTTGCCTTTTATGACAGCTGAGTGTCAGTCAGCACCACTCTTGAAGGGTTGCCTTTGGATCCAACTTAATACTGTGTCAGCCAAGACAGTCACTACACACAGAAAGGTGCCAGAGTGGGCACATGCTCATGGGATCCTCTGAGAGTTTCATATACCATGAGATTCATAGAGCAATGGGGCAATCCTTCACACATAGCTGAAGCACCTGTGTCAAGCAATTACTTAGACATTACTTGGTGAGGATAAGGTGACATACTACAGGATACAGTGTAAACTTTAATGACTTTTATATTGGGCTTTGTCCCTAACAGATGGAATACATGGGACTGGAAACTAATAGATGGAAGCTAGATTGACCCTGCTTTTCATGACTTCTAAGTACCTACTTAAAGAATTTGTGATAGTTTGCTGAGAATGATGGTTTCCAGCTTCATCCATGTCCCTACAAAGGACATGGGGGGAGAGGGGAGGGATAGCATTAAGAGATATACCTAATGTTAAATGACAAGTTAATGGGTGCACCACACCAACATGGCACATGTATACATATGTAACAAACCTGCACGTTGTGCACATGTACCCTAAAACTTAGAGTATAATAATAAAAAAAAAAAAGAATTTGTGCTCACCATTTCCACAGCTCTGGGCTCTGCAGGCTTGTCCTGATCTCCAAAGGAAGGACACATCCACCCAGGAGAAATAGCAAGAGTCATTTAAACTATAAACTACAGCTACTTTCTGGACACTTTGTATTCAGCAGACAATTCAGAGAGTCATCAATACAGGCATTGCCCTTTTAACAAATCTGATGAGTAACCTAAGTTTCAGAACTCTATTGAAACTGCATCATAGTTTAAGTTTTCTATCTACCCAATACTACTTCCTTCCCTTCCCATCAATAGAGAAGAAGACATATGTGTGCTAATTTCTACCACAGTGTCTGCTTTTCAGGAAATTCAACCTGCAAAATCATATAAATTTTAAAATCAGGTTGTCAGTTTTCCTCACTAATTTACTTTGATGTTTCTATTAGTATTGCATTGAATCTACAATTTGGTGAGAATTGACATAAAAGATTGACTCTTTAAAGTCTTGAATGTGGTATATCCACTTATTTTATAGGACTTCATCCTTTCTCCTAATAATGTTTTGTAAATTCTTCTGTTGAAATCCTGATTTATTTTTATATACTCGATGATTTTTTTAAAA
Organism: Homo sapiens; assembly: GCF_000001405.40. Classification (NCBI taxonomy): domain Eukaryota; kingdom Metazoa; phylum Chordata; class Mammalia; order Primates; family Hominidae; genus Homo; species Homo sapiens. The sequence continues at coordinate 118,298,708 of NC_000003.12, forward strand.
AATTGTCAAGGGTACTTGAGAAAATTAATTTTTGCTTGTTTGTAGAAATAAAAATGTTTCTATATTGGTTGTGAAATACTGATGTTGCTTTTACTAATTAAGTCTAATAGTTTATAGATAGTATTGGAATTTCTATGTGCATTTCTTCCATTCTAATCTTTTTAAAATTTATATAGGATACACTAATATATTTATTTATGTTTATTTTAAATTAGTATGTTTTGCTAATTCATGTTTTTCTAGGTATTTGCCAACTTCACCTACAGTGTCAATTGTATCAGCTAAAGTTGTTCTTAAGCTATGCTTATTTTTTATATCCGTAACATCTATGGTGATGTCCTCTTTTTCATTTCAGAAACTGAAATTTGTGTCATCTCTTTTTATTTTTATTTATTCTTATTAGAGTTCACTAATTTTATTATTTTTAAAGAAACTAATTTTAATTTTTGTTCTATGTACTTTACATTATCATAAAATCATCTAATAGTTATTTGATTTTATGCTTATCATTTACTTTTTCCTATAATTTTGGTGATTTCTTCATAGACTTTTTCTATCTACATGAAATAAATTATTTTTAATTTCTTTAGAGTTTGTTTTCTAATAGATGTTTAAAACTCTAAACTTCCCTCTAAGTAAAGCTTTAGCTGTATCTCAAAATTTTTTATGTCTTCTTTCTGTTATCATTTAAGATCAACATATTTTCAAATTTCCAATATGGTTTATTCTTTGAGATGTACATATTTAAAAAGCACACATTTTGGCATTTTCTTATCATCGTTTTATTATTTATTTCTAGTTTAATTGGATTAAGGTCAAAGAATCTATCAGGAAATGAGTTTCTATTTTGAAATTTTAAAAATAATCTTTCATGGACTAACAATTATAATAAAGTTTTTTTTAAATGTTCCATATTCAGAGAAATACACACATACACATATATACATATATATTCCTTTACATATGTAATTTGTAATTGTATCATTAAATTATGTTTTTCAGACCTATATGCTTGTTGATTTTGTATTTGGTTTTCTATCAGTTATGGAAATAGTAATGTTGCATTCTTAATTGAATATTTATTTTTTATTTCTGTCACTTTTATTAATGTATTTTGAAATTATGTAATTAATGCACACAATTCATAATTTTTATTTTTCTGCTAATCAACCTCATTATTTTGAAGTCACTTCTTATTACTAGTCATACTTAGTGACTTATTGTCTAATATTAATATGACTACACTTGCCTTCTTTCCATTACTATTTGTATTGTACAGATTCTTCATCATTTTGTAACCTGTGAAACATAATGTTTTTATTTCTATGTTTATATGTTTAAGTTGGTTACCAAGTATTTAGATTTTGCATTGTTATCCACACATACTTCTTCTGTTTTAAACTTGATTATTTAATCCACTTATACTTTATTTAATTACTGATTTATCTGTATCTACCATCTTACCATTTATTTTCTATTTAACTTACGTTTTTATTCCCGTTTCTCTAATTTGTCCTTTCTTTTGTATTTATATTATATGCTATTTCCATTCTAATTTATATTTAACATATTAATTATATGTTTTAAGCATTCCTTTAGTAATCACCTTGAAGCAGCACTGTCAAATAGAAATACAAGGTAAGCCACATTGGCCAGGTGTGGTGGCTCACACATATAATCCCGGCACTTTGAGAGGCTGAGGCAGGAGGATCGTTTGAGCCCAGGTGTTTGAGATCATCCTGGGCAACATGGCTAACCCCATCTCTAGTGTATGCCTGTAGTCCCAGCTACTTGGAAGGCTAAACTGGGAGTATCTCCTAAGCCCAGGAGGTTGAGGCTGCAGTGAGCCATGATAGCACCACTGCACTCCAACCTGAGTGACAGAAGTAGATCCTATCTCAAAAAAAGAAAACGAAAAGAAATATGAGGCAAGTCACCTATGTAATTTAAAAGTTTCTAGTAGTCACATTAAAAAAGTAAAGAGAAAAAATAAATAAATTTTAACAATAGATTTTATTTAGCACAATAATCCTAAAATACTATTGCAGTGACTTATAATCAGTATAAAATCATTAATAAGATATTTTACATTCTTTTACACTTAAAGCACATCCCAATTTGGTCTAGTCATATTTCAACAGTTGTACACGATTAGTGACTAGTATATTGGTCAGTGTAAGTACTCACCAGTCATCCACAACTAGTGGCTAGTATATTGGACAGCTTAGTGATTTCAAAATGCATCCTTGATTTATCATCCTCTAACATAGTACATTTACTACTTTCCAGAAAATAACAAAACCTTAAAAATACAACTTGCCTGCGTTTTCTGTTACTTTCCATGCCTTTTATTGCAGTATGTATTTAAGTACCTTAAAAGTATCATGATAACTATTTCATCCCATCAATATTTAGTCATATTTGCCTGCCTGTTTGCCATTTAATTTTTGCTCCTTTCTTCCTGTCTTATAGTGGTTTGTTTGGTTACATATTCTTACTGCCTGAACTTCTTTTGTATTTATTTTATGGTGGGTATATGGGTGGAAAATTATCTCACGTTATTTCCCCCTCTTCCTTGGAAATTTCTTTATTTGGCCTTCTGTCTTGAAGGATAATTTTGCTAGGTCTAAAATTCTAAGTTGACACCTGTTTAATTTTAGCCTGTTTGAGTTGTCATTCCACGGCCTTTAGCTTCTATTATAACTATTTAGATGTCAGTAATCCATTTGATTCCTTTTCCTTTGAAGTTAATGCTTCCTTTTTAATCTAGCTGTTAAGATTTTCTTTTGTCATCAGTTTTCAAGTTTCATTATTAGGCTTCTATGTATCCTTCCTTGTATATTTCCTGCCTGCCATTCTTAGAATATTTTGAATCTCTTATTTATTGTTTTTTGTCAGTTTTGGAGATTCTTAGCTGTTTACATTTCAAATATTTTTTCTGTTCTATATTATCTTTCTCCCCAGTCTGGGCCTCCAATTATATTTATTTTAGTAACTTTTATTAAGTTCTGTATTTTTTCATATTACCTATTACTGTATATATATGTGCTTCAATATAAATATATTCTACTGACTTAGCTTTCTATCTATAATCATCTATTCTGCCATGTCTAATATGCTAATAAATGTATTTAATAGATACCATTTGTATATGCATACATCTAGCACCTTTATCTCTTAGTTACAGGACTGCCCTCAAGCTTCTTTAGACATCTTTTCTGCATAGCTGGTGTTTTCATCCCCCTGAGGTAAACCCTTAAACAAGAATTGAAAAGTAGAGGAATATAAGATATAAACACTTCTGTTCTCTTACTTCTGATAGGAGCAGAATTCACATGTCATCTACACTTTCTCTAGAATTCCTCTGAGTGATTTTAATTGACACCTCACCCTTGGAAAAGAAAGGTTTCCTTTCCTTCCTGGTCCCACTTTCTCACTCTCATGTCAATATTTTTTCCTGGAAATATCTTCTAATAAGTCAGTTGCACACAAATCAGTTGCACTCATTTCAATATTTGTTTCTTGGGAACCTGACCAAAAATGCATGAATATTGACTTCTACATTTTAATTATTGATTTTATTCAGTACCAGATTTTCCCTTAACATTTGTATTTATATAATATAATTCTCGATAGAAGTCTCAGTCTTGTCATCTATTTTCATGAATGTATTAATCATGACTATTTTAACATTTATTTCTGAAAAATCTGGTATCTAGTACACATGTGGATCTCTTTCTATTACCATTTTTTCTCTTTACACTAATTTTTATAATCATAGATAATATTTTCTTAATTTATGAACAATGCACATAAAAATTATCACCTGTCAATGGCTCCATTCTTTTCAAGATTTTATTCCTTCAAGTCCTAGTTGCCTCAGAAACATAGCCTTCCAATGTCTCCATATTAACTTTTTTCCAGCAATTCCAATTGTTATTGGCAGGTGCATAGATATGCCACAAATCACTTCAAAGCCAGACTACGACATCTTATCCTATTACTCTTTATTTACTAAAAGTATTTTGCCAAAAATATAATTTGAATTTTATAAAGCAACTTTCCAGTATTTGGAAAGTTTCATTCTTTCTACTATTACAAACATACTTGAACAAGTGTTTCCTTATATATCAATATTGTATATAAATCCATATCTAATGAATTCCTTTGTTAAATATGAAAACATAAGAAAAACGTACCCATTTCTTTTGTCCCAAATTATTTTTATATAATCAGTAATTTATACCCAGTTTATTATCATTTAATATTTTGATTTAAATTATTTCTTTGAACTATAAGTTTTATTTTTATGTGTTACTCTGTAATCAGATTTGTCAACCATGAATCAGCCTTATTTTCTATTAATAATGGTAAATTGACAACATGTAGTCATCTCTACTCACAAGATAGACCCTGCCAAAATGATACTAAAGGACCTAAACCAGTATTAACATAAAAGACAATGAAAACTGGAGTAAATTTGAGATATAAATATATTTGAGATGTCAAAAACCCAAAGGAGGAGTACTAACTGACATGTTACTAACTGCCTACGATGGGGAAATAATTGTAATATTTGACTGCATTAGTACTGTAGAATCTCCAGACTCACATAGGTACACAGAATGTGGGACATAAAATAGAAGAATTAGTTAAAAATATGTATACACTGCTGTTAAACAGTAAACCTATTTCCTATACCTGCACATTATTTAGTAGTCAACCCTCTCACAAAGACTTATCATTGTAAAATTTCAGAATAAAGGATAAGGAACATCCTAAAAGTTCCACAGGAAAAAACAGAAAGTGATAGGAGCCAGAAAGTAAACAATATTCTTAATACCAAAATAAAACAGAGCAATATTTTCAAGATTCTAAGAAAAAAGTGATTTTCAGTGTATAATTCTCCATTCAATCAAATTATAAATAAGAAAAGAAGATAGAATGATCTCAATGTTAGACTGCAAGAATCCAAAAATATATCTCTCAAAGACTCTTTGGAAGTTCCTGGAAGGCGCATTTAGCAAAACAAGAGAGCAAAGCATACAGAAGGACGTGGTGCTAGAAACAAAATAACACAAAAACTCTCAGGACTACATTGTGAAGTAAGACAAGTAAAAATCCAGCACAAACTCTAGGAGAAAATAAAAAAGGTGAAGAAGGAACGCCTGCCTCTGTGATTAAAATAATAGTGATAATGACAATAATCCTAATAATACAGGAAAAGGAAAGAAATATGTATATATATTAGGAAAATTTATTGTGAGTCTTCTGACAGATCAAGTCTTAGGGAAAATATACTATATAGAAAACTAAGAGTTAAATAATGGAATAATTCTTAATTCCAGGAAAACAATATTTGTATGATAAAGAAAAAATAATCATTGTACACTACTTGGCTCAAGAATTATATTTTCATAATTATAATGTATAAATTAGTTAACCAAATGAAGAATAAACTTTGTATGCTAAATAACAAAATTTGTATGCTTAATTAAAATGTGGTATCATTCTAGTAGAAAGATAGGAGAAAAGAAAACGAAGTTGATAATTCAGCTCTAATAAAAGAAAGCCAATACATAGTGTCTCAATTTCATAATTTAAGAAATGGAGGTATAAGCATGGTATAAAGAAATGTGGATTAAAACACCAAAAGAAACAGTCTCAAGAATGGAAAGTAGCTATCTCCAGGAAAGGGACTATGAGGTTAGGAAACACTGCTGCTTTTTATTATGAGTGTTTTGCAGTGATTTTTGTTCATGTTATGCCTATAATAAGTTAATAAAAATAAAATTAGTTGGAAATAATATGAATTTTATATTTAACTGATGTCAATAATTATGACAATTTTACTTTTTGAGGTTTCAAATCATCTTACTGCTCAATTACTGAATGCCTCAAGAAAATTTTCAATAAGGCACATGATTTTTCTACCGTCTGTGTGCTTTCATAACTGAACAGTCATCTCTGTGTCCTACAGAAGTGGACAAATTAGCTAGACAAACCTACATAGATTTTATTTTAAGGTTAATGTTTGAGAGAAGTTTGAAGTCCAGTTGGCTTTTGTAATCCACATGGAATGTTTTTGTTTTGGCTTGTTACCATATTTTAGCCTGAATGTTCCTGCCATCTTTTAAATCCATAACATTCAGAAATGTGTCCTGCTTGGATCTAGGTACTGATTTCATTTCATTAATTTTTCTTAATACACAGTGAACTGTGGTGGGATGCAAGCTCAGGGCTAGCACTTGAATGTTACTCTTTCCTAATTTCTAAGCTCAGGTATATTTCTACACTATTTTAGCTTTTCATAGTGATCACAAGTGAGGTGGCAAAAGGGCATAGATGTTTCTGAGTTTGTCAGGATCTTATCCATAAATATGGAAGTCTTTAATTTTCCTAAGTTAGTGCCAGTCAGGCTTTGCTAACTATTAATCATCTAAAGGTTAAAGGTATTTATAGAAAAAATGGAGCTCCTAATTGCTAAGCTAAGACCCCCTTTGCTATGTTTTCGATTCCTCCCCTTCTCCAGTTACCAGTTACCTCCTTTATGTTTTACTCTCTCTCCTCCATCATTTGCTCTGCCTTTCTCAGTGAAAACATGCCCAGATAATCCGTATTTCAGCATTCTGGCATGAGGTGTGTGTGCCGCTTAAAGAAAATCTGTAGTGACCCTTTCTGTAAAGAGAACAATAGATTTGAAAGAAAATAAGTACTTCCTAATTTATCTTTTTGGTAACATTGTAAAAATACATTTAATTAAACAAAGACGTAAATTCATAAAATTATGTATATAGTTATTGGTCATCATTTAAGACGTCATGGAGAACAAGTAGAACATTTGATAATAATCAGAAAACTATTATCACTTAAAATTAAAAAAGAGTTACCCAAGAAATGACAATTTTATAAGCTTAATTTTGATATCAGAAAAATGCTAAAATAACGCGGTAAAAATCTTATTAATTCTTAACACAGGGGACCAAAGAAGGGTGGGGGAACAGAATTGCAATTAACTTTCTTGAGATTATCTAAATTTTTAAATGCAATAACAGCATCTAGATATCAAGGGACTGGCAGTCCTTTTGCTATCCTAAATAAAGCAATGTTGGATTAATAAGGTTTTCTGTTAACACAAAAGCTAAATTGTTAATTCATGGAAGAAAATGGCATGCTGTATAAAACCACTTTTCAAAGAAAAAAATTTATTCTAACAACTACAAGAAGTATGACTTTGTAATAGGCCTAAACCATTGTACAGTTCTGTACCAATTACCTAGCTACAAAAATACAAATAAAAAATAAAAAAAAAACTCCATCAAAAGTTTTCTAGAAACTAGCAATGATGATTAAACTAAAAAATTTTGCTGGATATCTTACAATGACATTTATTACAATTTTCTTGAGAAAAGCCGTCACAAGAAGAAAATAATTGTGCTCGTTGAGTAAGAAACACATGCCCCTAATAAGAATTGGAGAAGTGGCATATGTGGGAGCTAAAAATTAAAACAATTGAATTCATGGATAGAGTAAAATCATGGTTGCCACAGGCTGGAAAGAAAAGCTAAGGTGACAGGACTGTGGGTGGTTAATGGGCTCAAAAATATAGTTAGATAGAATGAATAAGATCTAGTATTTGATAGCATGAAGGGACGACTACAGTTGACAGTAATTTACTGTATATTTTATTATAGCTAAAAGAGTGGAAATGGAATGTTCCTGACACAAAGAAATTTCAAATACTTAAAGTGATGGATACCCTAATTATCCTGGTATGATTATTATATATTGTATGCTGTATCAAAACATCACATATACCTCATCAATAAATATACCTGTTATGTACCCACAATAATTAAAAATAAAAATGAATAATTGGAGAAATGGCACACAACAAAAATAGAAACAAAAATGAGTTTACCATAGGATGCTCGTTAGGGGTTAATATAATATATCATACTCCCTTATTCTAAAAATCTTGTATAAGTGCCTCACTGTGATACAACAAAAAAAGACTGAGGTAATTTTGACACCCTCATGAAAGTATAGGGTGTGAGAAACCAAAATTATAAATAAAAGCCAAAAACTAGTATTAAAATGTATTTTATGTGGCTAAAATGTCAGCAATAACAGATTGGAACCATAAGTCTAGACTAAATTAATAAAAATTGGAGAATTAGAATTGAGAGCAATATAAAAATACTAACTCCTCAAAATGTATAAGGACATTCACAAATTGTTTTTGACATTAATAATTTGAGAGCTATAGATTAAAGTAAAAATGTAAGAAACTTATAACATTGCCAGCAGAATTAAAAATAGAATCTCTCTCTTCCAACATTCTCTATAAGCTTAAAAAAATTATAGCCCATAGCATTCCTACCAGGACAGTAGCCACTAACCGTATGTGGCTATTGAACACTTAAATTGTGAATAGTCCAAATTGAAATGTGTTGAGGCTACAAAATACACCCTGGATTACAAAGGCCTTGTACAAAAAAATAATGGAATGCATCTTATTGATTATTTCTAAACGAATTATATGCTGAAATGAAGATATTTGGGATACATTGAGTTAAGTAAAATATATTATTAAAATTAACTTCACCAGTTTCACTCTTACTATATGATCCAATGATCACACTTCTAAGGATTTATCTAACTGAATCGCAAACCTGTGTCTATACAAGAACCTCTTCACAAACGTTAACAGAAACCCCTTCATAATTGCTAAAACCTGGAAGTAATCAAGATCATTTTTCAATGTGAGAAGAACATGAGATTTGGGGGACAAGGGGTAAAAATGATATGGTTTAGATGTTTCTCCTCCACATCTCATGTTAAAATGTAATCCCCAATGGAGGTGGGGCCTGGTGGGAGGTGTTTGGGTCATGGAAGTGGACCCGTCATGAATGGTGTGGTGCCCTCCTCACGGTAATGACTGAGTTCTTGCTCTGAGTTCACACAAGACCTGATTGTTTACAAAAGTATGGCACCATCTTCCTGTTTCTCTCTTGCTCTTGCACTTGCCATGTGATATACCGGTTTCCCCTTTGCCTTCTGCCACAAGCGGAAGCTTCCTGAGGCTTTTACTAGGAGCAGATGTCATACCCTGCTTCCTGTATAGCCTGCAGAACCATAATCCAAAATGAATCTCTTTTATTTATATACTACCCAGTCTCAGGTATTCCTTCATATCAATGCAAATGGACTAATACACTGTACAATTCCAATTTTATAACATTCTGGAAAAGACAAAACTATAAAGCCATGAAATAGGTCACTGATTACCAGATGTGAAGGGAACATTTTTCTTTTAACAGAGGTAAAACTATTCTGCATGATAGTATAAGAGTTGCTACACGATATTACACTATGTCAAAACCCCACACAACTTTATAATACAAAAAGTGAGCCCTAAAAATAATTACTTTAGAGGTCAGGGAATCGCAGCATAAAATGCCGACTGACAAAGCCATCCAAGTGTATTAAAAATATATGAAACAATCTCATGAAAGGAGTTGGGGAAAAGTAGTGTTGACTAAATATAACCCCAGAAATGAATGGATTCTGTCAAGTAAAGTTTAAAAAAAATAACTGTCCATAAGCATTGTACTCTTATCCATAAAGCTGATTTCCTGGGATTAACAGATTTGTTATTAAACTCCCAACATTAGTGAAAATATAAAGATAAGTAAGAGGAGGAAGCTGGAATTAACCATGTGGTAATTCAGGAAGTTGGAGACAACGGTATGAAATAATATAGATGAAGATGATTATATATAGAAGGATTCATGAATATGTATATGTAAATGTGCTAATATACCCACATATAGCTCCTTGTTCTCTAAGCTGAAAGGGCTGAGAAGCAATGACATGCAAATAACAATCTTGTGCCCAGATTTTGATTTCTAATACCGTTCTCCAATAAAAGGCAACAGGGCTCACTGGAGAAATGGCTGATTCTATAACTGGGGCAGGAAAGATATAAAATGAAGCTGGGGTATCTCATTGTCCCAAAAAGTAGGGGAATGCTCAAATAAGTAAAACCCACTCCTTTGATGTATTTTAAAAGGACAAAAACCAACTAAAAGTGCTTCCAACGGCCAAACATAAGGCAATGTGAGCAACAAAATAAATAAAATAGTATCTGATTATAATCCAAAGTATAAAACAAACATGCATGAGCCTACACCAATGTAAATACATGATGGAGTAAATCATTTTTAAATGGGGGAGAAGAGACAACTCTCCCATGCAAAAGAATTTCAAATAATTTATGCAGATCCTAAGCTCCCAAGGAAATAGAGCCTATCCCTTCACTCCAAGGGTAAGCTATGCTAAATGTTTTTCTTCCAAAAATTAGTGTGTAAAAGGGGAAAAAGTAGCTTTACAGTGGAGACATCTGTCAAAAACTGCCTTGGGCAGGTGATTAAGGTCAATATAAACTGCGATAAGTCATGCTGACACTGTGTACCTTGATATGATATCATAAAATTGGTGCTTTCCCTCTATGATGTTCCTCCAAAATGTACATCAACACAGTCAATCATTAGACAAACATCAGACAAATCTCAAGAGAGAGACATTCTTTACCTGTCTAGTAGCCTTCAAAATGGTCCAGGTCATCAAAAACAAAGACAATCTAAGAAACTATCACAACCAAGAGAAGTTTAAGGAGAAATGACAACTAAATGAAATATGGTATCCTGGAAAAGAAAAAAGACAATAGATAAAAATGAAGAAAATCTGAATAAAGTATGGATTTTCATTAGTGATAACTTCTCAATTTGTATTTATTAATGGCAACAAACATATTAACAATAGAAGAAAGTGGGTGCATGGTATAAAAGCACGATCCGTTCCAGCTTTGCAATTTTTCTGTAAATCTCAAAGTGTTCTAAACTATAAAGTTTATTTTTTTAAAAAAGAATGAGAACAATGGATCTATATTGTATGAAGTCATCTTCATAAAAATATTAATTATGAAAGCAAGGTGTAGAAGAGTGTGCATAGTGTTATACCTTTAATGAGAAAAAAGGTAAGGAAAATAATATGTGTACATGCATGTGTGTAAATGTACATATACACTTGTTCATAAAGAAATAATGAGATAAGAAACCAAGAACTAGTAAAAAAAAGGTAACGTATAGTGAAAAGACAGAATGGGAGAGAGTTTGGCAGCAATTATCAAAGGTATACTTCCCTTAATATATCTTGTTTTATATATTTAAATTTGCAAATACATAATTACATTACATAATTTAAAGAGAAAAATATTTTTTAAAAAGCAAAGCCATTCCTAAAATTAAAGCAAGCTGTAACATATTAGCCTAATTATATATCAAATTATTGACATAACCTTACAAAAATTATTTCATGGGATGAATTTTGAAAAACACAGTATTTAGGCTGAACTTCCCTACTGGGAATTATTCTAAAAACAAAATAACCACAAAGATACCTACAATTTATTTATTTATCTCAATCAGAATAGTCATATTGGTGTTATTTTGAACCTCAGAGAGAGTTAGTTTTATAAGATCTAAAAATTATTTTGTTGATAGTACTCAACATGATGACACTTGAATAGTTGAAAGGCAGAAGTCCCTGTTACTTACTGGGCCAAAAGAGAGAACTCCCTATGCAGTGCCGCACAGGGAGTTAGCTCAGGATAGGCTAAGAGCAAGCTGAATCTGTAGTGGGCAGCTTGTGTATGGCAAGAGAGATGAGGTTAGCTAGGTTTCATATACTTGCTGCAGGTTGGATAATTTGAATAATTTCTCAAGCACCAGGACATAGGGGCTGTCTCCAGTTGTCTGGTATCCAGCCCCAAGATGATTAGCATGGGTGCATAGTAGTCCCAGAGTGTGAGAGACCTGATAAGGAAAGTGGAGGAGATATGAAATTAATCAGCTGCTATATAGAGTGAGTGAGAGAACAAACACTATGTTAGTATTACAATGATCCAAGATGTTCAGGATAGAAGAAAAGAGATACAAATATAACATTAGTTTAAATAGGGTTAATTAAAAACCATAATCTTTAATTTACATTGGAAAGATATGTAGAGAAATATGATTTATTTTCCCCTTGTAAAAAATTACATATTTTTAGCACTGTCCACTGAAAGTAACTAAAAGCAACGGCAACTCAGTAGCAATTAGTACCTTTAGTGCCCATATGGGCACTAAATATCAGAATATCAGGGATATTCTGATCTCTAAGTGCCATTTATACTTTAAAGGATCCAAGATTCCTAAGAAAAATAGCTGAACCTATATTTGGGCAGGGAATGTAAATGTGCAAGATTTGGACATATTGTACTTGAATGCAAGAAGTTATCAAGACCTACAATCATGTCAAAGAAACAAAGAAGCCAATTTAAAGGACTCCAAATAATCAAAGATAAGATCATTTGAGTTTGTAATTACACTAAAACAATTTATTGGGTCACCATTGAATATGATTATTTTGAAAATTAGTAAGAAAAAATTCAAATATCTATTCTGTCTTTCCTGTATGGACAAAGTTCAATGTAAACAAATAGTTGATGAGGGACAGCTATCTCTAAATAACAATTTCATCTCATAAATGCAGAGGAAATAATAAAATAAGAAATCACCATTTAGCAACCTTCAATGAAATACTACATCCAGACACTTACCATTAATAGCTGTTCAAACCATGAGTTGAAACGTTGTTGGGAGAATTTAAATGAAGAAAGAGACTAACAAACTTGATTCCATTGATCAGTTGTAGCATCATTTAAAGTATAGCCATGAACTATCGTGTGCCTTCTGATGTAATGCAAGAAGAATAGCATCAACCACAAAATTAACCTAAAGTTCACCAAGCCTTTAACTATCAGTTTACTGGAAATTTGATGATATAATTAAAAGTTACATGATACTCTCAGCAATCAGTCAAATCCAAAATGTGGGAAATTCTACAAGACAGATTACTCTATTTTTAATAACATAAATAAGATGAAATTTTTAAAAGGTCAAGTTATTATTGATTAAAGGAAATAAAATAGCAAAATAGCCCCTGCTTATCTCTCCCCCACAGCAATAATAAGTTGGCAGCCATTCATAGACAAAAAATGTTTTTGTGGGAGGTTTGGTATTCAAGTAAGGGCTTGCACAACCCCAGTGGAGCATGACTGAGGAGATTCATTTTGAGAGGACAAGACCATACCTAGGGGAAGGCTCAATATTCTTTTGGCCATAAGCTGAGAAACAGCCCCATTCCCTTGTGGATTTAGTCAAAGCCTCATTTGGCATTGGTCCTGCAATTAGCAGTACCTGCAAAAGACATGGAAGGAGACACATCCATCTGTGTTCCTGGAGGCAGAACTACTGGCTTTGGTCTACCTGAAGATCTTGAGATGGCCCTGTAATCTGAGTCCAGTGTTTTTTTTGCTGCTATCTGGATGTAGTTCTGCCCACTCAGGGACCTGCTAGGAAATATACCAGTTCATGTCCCCAGAGACAGACTTGTAGATTTTGGTCCAGTCATAGATCTTAAAGAGTCCCTGCAACCCAGCTTTTGACCATCCTAGCTGTGGTCCAAGAGGAATCCTACCCTCAGAGAGACCCATCAGGAGACATGCCTGTCTGTGTCCCCAGAGTGAAACCTGCAGAACTTGGTCCAACAACAGATTTTAAACAGGTCCTGTTACCTGGTTCTAGCTACTCTGTGCCATGGCCCCAGTGTAGTCCTGTCTTCCTGGGAACCCATTAGAAGCCACATCCATCTGTGTCCCAGTAGGCAGACACACCAACTGCAGTCAGGCTGTAGGTCTTCAACTGGCCCTGTAACCTGGATACAGGTGTTTTCAGCTGTGGTTCAGGAACATTTCTGCCTACACAGGGACCCAGAAGGAAGCATGCCATTTGTGCCATCTGAGGCAGATCTGCAGAACTTGGTCTTCGGTGTGGACCCTGAAGCAGCTCAGTGACTTTATTCCAGAACTGCTCAGCCATGGTCCAGGGGTAGTCCTTCCTGCCCAAGAACCCCTCAGCTCCATCCTCATTCAAATGTGATACAAGAGATAACCCCATCAATGCAAAGAGCCAAAAGAAGAACTAGAAGAACTTTTTTACCTTCCCAAACCAGTCTGTAAAAACTGGAAGAGGTATTTGCACTTTCAAATGCACAGACACCAAATGAAAGGCTACACAGATCATGAAAAATGAGACAAACAAAACAACACTAAAGGACTAGTAAGTCTCCAGCAATTGACCCAGTAGAAACTGAGTTCTACATATTGCCTGACAGAGAATTAAAAATAATTTTTAATAATTCAAAATAAGCTCAACAAAACACAAGAGAACACAGATATACAGCCAAATGAAATCAGGAAAACAATACATGAACAAAATGCGAACTTTAACAAAGAAATAGAAATCAGGAAAGAGCAATATGGCAGATTAGAAGCCTACATCATTCATCCCTCTCGCTGGAACACCACATTTTAACAACTATATACACACAGAAAAGCACTGTCACAAGAACCAAAAATCAGGTGAGCAATCACAGTACATGGTTCTAACTTCACATCACCAAAAGAGGCATTGAGAGCGACAGGAGAGAGAGTCTTGAATCACCAGTGCCACCCCAACCCTACCCCTGGCAATGGCCATGCAGCACAGAGAAGAAATCTTTGCACTTTGGGGAGAGAGAGAGAACAGAAACTTGGGGGCTTTACATTGAACTCGCTACTGCCTTGTCCCATTGGAAAATAAATCTGCGCTGGACTCAGCTAGTGCTGGTTCATGGAGGGGGCATTTGGACCAGCCCAAGGCAGAGGGGAATTGCCTATTCCAGCAGTCAAAACTTGAGTTTCTGGGCAAGCTTTGCCACTGTGCTTTGGGGTCCTAGGTAATCTTGAAGGCAGTCTAGGACATAAGGACTGAAATTCCTAGGCGACTCCTAGTGCTGGGATGGGCTAAGAGCCAGTAGACCAGAGTGACACATAACATAGGAAGACATCAGCTGTTGCAGCTAAGGGAGTGCTTGCATTAGCCATGCCCCAACCCCAGGCAGTGCTGCTTGCAGCAACAAAAGTGACTCCTTTCATCTGCTTAAAGGGAGGAGAGCAAAGAGTAAAGAAGGTATTGTCCTGCATCTTGAATACCAGCTCAGGCACAGCAGTATAGGGCACTAGGAAGAATCATGAGGTTCCCATTCCAGGTCCTTGTTCCTGGACATTTCTAGGCTCACCCTGTGCCAAAAGGGAACCTATTGCCTTGAAGGGAAAGAACCATTCCTGTCAAAATTAATCACCTGCTGACTAAAGAACCCTTGGGCCTTGAATAACCAGCAGTGGTACCCAAGGTGTACACTGTGGGCCTTGGGCTCTGAGATGTGATGGCTTCAGGAGTGACCCAACACATTCCCAGCTCTTGTGGCTATGGTGAAGGACTCCTGTTGGAGAAAAGCAAAGGGAAGAGTAAAGTGGACTTTCTCTTGCACCTTAGGTACCAGCTTAACCATGGTGGGATAGAGAAACAAGTAAGCTCTCGGAGTCCTGAAGTCCAGGCATAGACTTTTGGACAACATTTCTGGACCTGCCCTGGGCCAGATGGGAGCCCACTAGCCTGAAGGGTGAATCCTAGGCCAGGCAGCATTCACCAAAAGCTGACAGAAGAGCCCTTGGGCTTTGAGTAAATATTGGCAGTGGCCTCACAGAACCCCTCATTAACCAATGGTGATGAAGGCAATGGGCAGAGGCTCCTCTGCTTGTTATAAAAGAAGGGGAGAACTGGAAGGACTATGTTGCTTGAGTGCCAGCTTAGCTACAGTAGAATAGAACATCAGGTAAACTGCTAAGGTTTTTGACTCCAATCCCTGGTTCCCAGACAGCATCTTTGCATATGCCTGGGACCTGAGGGAAACCACTGCCCTGAAAAGGAGGGCCCTATGCAATGAGTAGAAAGTTTATTCAAAGGGATAATATTAGATAACTTCCCAAACCTAAAGAAATATATTAATATTCAAGTACAAGAATGTAATACAACACCAAGCAGATTTAACCCAAACAAGACTTCCTAAGGCATTTAATAATCAAACTTCCAAAGGTCAACAATTTGAAAAGGATCCTGAAAGCAGAAAAAGAAAATAAACATGTTACATACAATGGAGCTCCAATATGTCTGATAGCCGACTTTTCAGTGGAAACCTTACAGGCCAGGAAAGAGTGGAATGACATATTTAAAGTGCTGAAGGGGAAGAAAATTACCCTAGTATAATATATCCCCACAAAATATCCATCAAACATGAAGGAAAAATAAGACTTTCCCATACAAACAAAGGCTGAGGGATTTAATCAACATGAGACCTGTCTCTGAAAGCAATGCTAAAGGGAATACTTCAATCTGAAAGAAAGAAATGCTAGTAAGAAAGAAGAAATCATCTGAAGGCACAAAAAAGGCACTGGTTATAATAACCATATAGAAAAACAGAGAATAATATAACGTTGTAATGGTGGAGTGTAAACTACTCTTGGGTTAAGGAGAAAGAATAAATGATGAACCAATCAAAATAAATAACTACAACAGCTTTTCAAGACATCGTACAATAAGACATAAAGAGAAATAACAAAATGTTAAAATGTAGGAGGATAAATTAAATTGTAGAGTTTTTATGAGTTTTCTTTTTGTTTTTTCGTTTGTTTATACAAACAGTGTTAAGTTGTAAAGACAAAGAAAATTGGGGCCAGGTGCAGTGGCTCATGCCTGTAATCCCAGCACTTTGGGAGGCCAAGGCAGGCGGATCACGACGTCAGGAGATGGAGACCATCCTGGCTAACATGATGAAACCCCATCTCTACTAAAAATACAAAAAATTAGCCGGGCATGATGGCAGGCACCTGTAGTCCCAGCTACTCGGGAGGCTGAAGCAGGAGAATGGCATGAACCCGGGAGGCGGAGCTTGCAGTAAGCAGAGATCGCGCCACTGCACTCCAGCCTGGGCAACAGAGCGAGACTCTGTCTTAAAAAAAAAAAGAAAAAGAAAAAGAAAAAGAAAATTGGTAAATCTTTAGCCAGATTAGGAAAAAATATAGAAGACCGAAATACAGAGCCCTCAGAAATAACGCCGCATATCTACAACTATCTGATCTTTGACAAACCTGAGAAAAACAAGCAATGGGGAAAGGATTCCCTATTTAATAAATGGTGCTGGGAAAACTGGCTAGCCATATGTAGAAAGCTGAAACTGGATCCCTTCCTTAGACCTTATACAAAAATTAATTCAAGATGGATTAAAGACTTAAATGTTAGACCTAAAACCATAAAAACACTAGAAGAAAACCTAGGCATTACCATTCAGGACATAGGCATGGGCAAGGACTTCATGTCTAAAACACCAAAAGCAATGGCAACAAAAGCCAAAATTGACAAGTGGGATCTAATTAAACTAAAGAGCTTCTGCACAGCAAAAGAAACTACTATCAGAGTGAACAGGCAACCTACAACATGGGAGAAAATTTTCACAACCTACTCATCTGACAAAGGGCTAATATCCAGAATCTACAATGAACTCCAACAAATTTACAAGAAAAAAACAAACAACCCCATCAAAAAGTGGGCAAAGGACATGAACAGACACTTCTCAAAAGAAGATATTTATGCAGCCAAAAGACACATGAAAAAATGCTCACCATCACTGGCCATCAGAGAAATGCAAATCAAAACCACAATGAGATACCATCTCACACCAGTTAGAATGGCAATCATTAAAAAGTCAGGAAACAACAGGTGCTAGAGAGGATGTGGAGAAATAGGAACACTTTTACACTGTTGGTGGGACTGTAAACTAGTTCAACCATTGTGGAAGTCAGTGTGGCGATTCCTCAGGGATCTAGAACTGGAAATACCATTGGACCCAGCCATCCCATTACTGGGTATATACCCAAAGGACTATAAATCATGCTGCTATAAAGACACATGCACACGTATGTTTATTGCAGCACTATTCACAATAACAAAGACTTGGAACCAACCCAAATGTCCAACAATGATAGACTGGATTAAGAAAATGTGGCACATATACACCATGGAATACTATGCAGCCATAAAAAATGATGAGTTCATGTCCTTTGTAGGGACATGGATGAAATTGGAAATCATCATTCTCAGTAAACTAGTGCAAGGACAAAAAACCAAACACCGCATGTTCTCACTTATAGGTGGGAATTGAACAATGAGAACACATGGACACAGGAAGGGGAACATCACACTCTGGGGATTGTTGTGGGGTGGGGCCTGGGGGAGGGATAGCATTAGGAGATATACCTAAAGCTAAATGGTGAGTTAATGGGTGCAGCACACCAGCATGGCACATGTATACATATGTAACTAACCTGCACATTGTGCACATGTACCCTAAAACTTAAAGTATAATAATAATAAAATAAAAAAATAAAAAAAGACCCAAATAAATAAAATCAGAGATGAAAAAGGAAACATTAAAATGGTAATGCAAATTCAAAAAATCATCACGGCTACTATGAATGATGATATGCCAATAAATTGGAAAATCTAGAAAACATAGATACATTCCTAGACACATAGAACCTACCAAGATGAAACCATGAAGAATTCCAAAATCCAAACAGACCAAAAACAATTAACAAGATTGAAACCATACTAAAATGTCTTCCAGTAAAAAAAAAGCTGGGGACCCAATGCCTTCACTGCTAAATTTTACCAAACATGGAAAGAAGAACTAATACTAATTCTATTCAAAGTATTCCAAAAAATAAAGGAGGAGTAATCAGACAAGAGAAATAAATAGAGGACATCCAAATTGGAAAGGAAGAAATCAAATTATTCTTGTTGCAGATGATATGATTTTATATTTGGAAAAACCTCAAGACTCTACCAAAGAACTATTAGAACTGATAAACAAATTTGATAAAGTTGCAGGATACAAAAGCAGCATACAAAAATTAGTAGCATTTCTACATGCCAACAGTGAACAATCTGAAAAAAGAATTTAAAAAGTAATCCCAGCCGGGTCCGGGCGCGGTGGCTCACGCCTGTAATCCCAGCACTTTGGGATGCCGAGGTGGGCGAATCATGAGGTCAGGAGATCGAGACCATCCTGGCTAATGTGGTGAAACCCTGTCTCTACTAAAAATACAAAAAATTATCGGGGTGTGGTGGCAGGTGCCTGTAGTCCCAGCTACTTGGGAGGCTGAGGCAGGAGAATGGGGTGAACCCGGGAGGCGGAGCTTGCAGTGAGCCGAGATCGCGCCACTGCACTCCAACCTGGGTGACAGTGAGACTCCGTCACAAAAAAAAAAAAAAAAAAAAAAAAGTAATCCCAACCGGGTGTGGCGGCTCATGCCCTGTAATCACAGCACTTTGGGAAGCTGAGGCGGGTGGATCACTTGAGGTTAGGAGTTCGAGACCAGCCTGGCCAACATAGTGAAACCCCATCACTACTAAAAAATACAAAAATTAGCTCAGCATGGTGGTGGGCACCTGTAATACCAGCTATGTGGGTGGTCGACGCAGATGAATTGCTTGAACCTGGGAGGCGGAGGTTGTAGTGGTCCCAGAATGCACCACTGCACTATAGCCTGGGCGACAGAGCAAGACTCCATCTCAAAAAAAAAAAAAAAAATCCCACTTATAATAGCCACAAATAAAACTAACTGTCTAGGAACTTATTTAACCAAAGAAGTGAAAGATCCCTACAATCAAACGTATAAAAAAACTGATGCAAGTAATTGAAGAGGAGACAAAAGAAAAGTTATTCTATGTTCATGGACAGGAAGAATCAATATTATTAAAATATCCATACTGCCCAAAGCAATCTACAGATTCAATGCAATTTCTATGAAAATACCAATGACATGCTTCACAGAAACAGGAAAAACGATCCTAAAATTTATATGAAATCACAAAAGACTCAGAAGAGCCAAAGTTCTCCTGAGCAAAAAGAAAAAATCTAGGGGAATCACACTACCCAACTTCAAATTATATACAGAGCTATAGTAACCAAAACAACATTGTACTGACATAAAAACAGACACACAGATCAATGAAACAGAATACAGAATCCAGAAACAAATTCACACACCTACAGTGAACTCATTTTTAACAAAGGTGCAAATAACATACATTGGGAAAAAGACACTGTCTTCAAAAATGGTGCTGGGAAAACTGGATATCCATGTGCAAAAGAATAAAACTAGACCCCTGTCTCTTCCTGTATACAAAAATCAAATCAAAGTGAATTAAAGGCTTAAATCTAGGATCTCAAACTATAAAACTACTTCAAGAAAACGTTGGGAAATTCTCCAGGGCATTAGTCTGTGCAAAAAGTTCTTGATTAATACACTACAGGAACAGGCAACCAAAGCAAAATGGACATATGGGATCACATCAAGTTAAAAAGCTTCTGCACAACCAAGGAAACAGATAAACTGCAGAGACAACCCACAGAATAGGAAAGAATATCTGAAAACTACTCATCTGGCAAGGGATTAATAAGCCTAATTATAAACAGCTCAAAAAACTCTATAGGAAATAAACCTAATAATCCAATTTTTAAAATGGCCAGAAGCCTTACATAGACATTTATCAAAAGAAGACACACCGAAAAAGAAATTTTAAGAAAGAAGTAAAATTGTGATGTTAGGGTGTCAATTTTAGATCTTTCCCACTTTCTCCTGTGGGCATTTAGTGCTATAAATTTCCCTCTAAACACTGCTTTAGCTGTGTTCCAGAGATTCTGGCACGTTGTGTCTTTGCTCTCATTGGTTTTAAAGAACTTATTTATTTCTGCCTTAATTTCATTATTTACCCATTAGTCATTCAGGAGCAGGTTGTTCAGTTTCCATGTTGTTTTGCAGTTTTGAGTGAGTTTCTTAATCCTGAGTTCGAATTTGATTGCACTGTGGTCTGAGAGAGAGTTTGTTGTGATTTCTGTTCTTTTACTTTGCTGAGGAGTGCTTTACTTCCAACTATGTGGTCAATTTTGGAATAAGTGTGATGTGGTGCTGACAAGAATGTATATTCTGTTGATTTGGGGTGGAGAGTTCTGCAGATGTCTATTAGGTCTGCTTGATCCAGAGCTGAGTTCAAGTCCCTAATATCCTTGTTAATTTTCTGTCTCATTGATCTGTCTAATATTGACAGTGGGGTGTTAAAGTCTCCCACAATTACTGTGTGGAAGTCTAAGTCTCTTCGTAGGTCTCTAAGAACTTGCTCTATGAATCCAGGTGCTCCTGTATTGGGTGCATATTTAGGATACTTAGCTCTTCTTGTTGCATTGATCCCTTTACCATTGTGTAATGCCCTTCTTTGTCTTTTTTGATATTTGTTGGTTTAAAGTCTGTTTTATCAGAGTCTAGGATTGCAACCCCTGGGTGGTTGTTGTTGTTGTTGTTTTGCTTTCCATTTGCTTGGTAAATATTCCTCCATCTGTTTATTTTGAGCCTACATGTGTCTTTGCACGTGAGATGGGTCTCCTGAATACAGCACACCAAGGGTCTTGACTTTTTATCTAATTTGCCTGTCTGTGTCTTTTAATTGGGGCATTTCGCCCATTTACATTTCAAGTTTATATTGTTATGTGTGAATTTGATCCTGTCATTATGATGCTAGCTGGCTGGTTATTTTGCCCATTAGTTGATGCAGTTTATTCATAGTGTTGATGAATTTTACAATTTGGTATGTTTTTTCAGTTGCTGGTACTGGTTTTTCCTTTCCATATTTAGTGCTTCCTTCAGGAGTTCTTGTAAGGCAGGCCTGATGGTGAAAAAATCTTTCAGCATTTGCTTGTCTGTAAAGGATTTTATTTCTCCTTTGCTTATGAAGCTTAGTTTGGCTGGATATGAAATTCTGGGTTAAAAATTCTTTTCTTTAAGAATGCTGAATATTGGCCCCCAGTCTCTTCTGGCTTGTAGGGTTTCTGCAGAGAGATCCGCTGTTAGTCTGATGGGCTTCCCTTTGTGGGTAACCCAACCTTCCTCTTTGGCTGCCCTTAACATTTTTTACTTCATTTCAACCTTGGTGAATCTGACAATTACGTGTGTTGGGGTTGCTCTTCCTGAAGAGTATCTTTGTGATGTTCTTTGCATTTCCTGAATTTGAATGTCCTATATTGCTAGGTTGGGGAAATTCTCCTGGATAATATCCTGAAGAGTGTTTTCCAACTTGGTTCCATTCTCCACACCACTTTCAGTTACACTAATCAAACTTAGGTTTGGTCTTTTTTTTTTTTTTTTTTTTTTTTTTTTTTTTGAGACGGAGTCTCGCTCTGTCGCCCAGGCTGGAGTGCAGTGGCGTCATCTCGGCTCACTGCAAGCTCCGCCTCCCGGGTTCACGCCATTCTTCTGCCTCAGCCTCCCGAGTAGCTGGGACTACAGGCGCCCGCCACTACGCCCGGCTAATTTTTTTGTATTTTTAGTAGAGACGGGGTTTCACTGTGTTATCCAGGATGGTCTCGATCTCCTGACCTCGTGATCTGCCCGTCTCAGCCTCCCAAAGTGCTGGGATTACAGGCGTGAGCCACTGTGCCCGGCCAGGTTTGGTCTTTCCACATAGTCCCATATTTTTTGGAGGCTTTGTTTGTTCCTTTTCATTCTTTTTTTTTTTCTAATTTTGTCTTCCTGTTTTTTTTCATTAAGTTGATCTTCAATCTCTGATATCCTTTCTTCCGCTTGATCAATTTGGTGACTGATACTTGTGTATGCTTCATGAAGTTCTCATGCTGTGTTTTTCAGCTCCATCAGGTCATTTATGTTCTTCTCTAAACTGGTTATTCTAGTTAGCAATTCGTCTAACCTTTTTTCAAGGTTCTTAGCTTCCTTGCTTTGGGTTAGAACATGCTCCTTTAGCTTGGAGGAGTTCATTATTACCCACGTTCTGAAGCCTACTTCTGTCAATTCATCAAACTCATTCTCTGTCCAGGCGTGTTCCCTTGCTTTTGTGGAGTTTTGATCCTTTGGAGGAGAAAAGGTGTTCTGGTTTTTGGAATTTCCAGCATTTTTGCACTGGTTTTTCCTCATCTTGGTGGGCTTATCTACCTTTGGTCTTTGATGTTGGTGACCTTTGAATGGGGTTTTTGTGTGGATGTCCTTTTTGTCGATGTTGATGCCATTTCTTCCTGTTTGTTAGTTTTCCTTCTAACAGGCCCCTCTGCTGCAGGTCTGCTGGAGTTTGCTGGAGGTCCACTCCCCATCCTGTTTGCCTGGTTATCACAAGTGGAGGCTGCAGAACAGCAAAGGTTGCTGCCTGTTCCTTCCTCTGGAAGCTTCATCCCAGAGGGTCACCCGCCATATGCCAGCCAGAGTTCTTCTGTATGAGGTGTCTGTCGACCCCTGCTGGGAGGTGTCTCCCAGTCAGGAGGCACGGGGATCAGGGACCCACTTGAAGAGGCAGTCTGTCCCTTAGCAGACCTCAAGCACTGTGCTGGGAGATCCACTGCTCTCTTCAGAGCCTACGGGCAAGAATGTTTAATTCTGTTGAAGCTGCGCCCACAGCTGCCCCTTCCCCCAGGTGCTATGTCCCAGGGAGATGGGAGTTTTATCTATAAGCCCCTGACAGGGGCTGCTGCCTTTCTTTCAGAGACATCCTGCCCAGAGAGAAGGACTCCAGAGAGACAGTCTGGCTGCAGCAACTTTGCCTAGCTGTGGTGGGCTCTGCCCAGTTTGAACTTCTAGGAGGCTTTGTTTACACTGTGAGAGAAAAACCACCTACTCAAGCCTCAGTAATGGCGGACGCCCCTTCCCCAACTAAGCTCGAGCATTCCGGATTGACTTCAGACTGCTGTGCTGGTAGGGAGAATTTCATGCCAGTGAATCTTAGCTTTCTGGGCTCCGTGTCTAGCCAGGACAATCAGGCAAGAGAAATAAATAAAGGGTATTCAAATAGGAAAAGAGGAAGTCAAATTGTCTCTGTTTGCAGATGACCTGATTGTATATTTAGAAAACCACATCGTCTCAGCCCAAAATCTCCTTAAGCTTATAAGCAACTTCAGCAAATTCTCAGGATACAAAATCAATGTGCAAAATCACAAGCATTCCTATACACCCGTAATAGAGAGCCAAATCATAAGTGAATTCCCATTCACGATTGCTTCAAAGAGAATAAAATACCTAAAAATACAACTTACAAGGGATGTGAAGGACCTCTTCAAGGAGAACTACAAACCACTGCTCAAGGAAATAGGAAAGGACACAAATGGAAAAACATTCCATACTCATGGATAGGAAAAATCAATTTTGTGAAAATGGCCATACTGCCCAAAGTAATTTATAGATTCAATGCTATCCCCATCAAGCTACCATTGACTTTCTTCACAGAATTAGAAAAAAACTGCTTTAAATTTCATATGGAACCACAAAAGAGCCTGTATAGCCAAGACAATCTTAAGCAAAAAGAACAAAGCTGGAGTTATTATGCTACCCGACTTCAAACTATACTACAAGGCTACAGTAACCAAAACAGCATGGGACCGGTACCAAAACAGATATATAGACCAATGAAACAGAACAGAGACCTCAGATATAATGGCACAATCTACAACCATCTGATCTTTGACAAACCTGACAAAAGCAAGTAATGGGGAAAGGATTCACTACTTAATAAATGGTGTTGGGAAAACCAGCTAACCATATGCAGAAAACTGAAATTGGACCCCTTCCATACACTTTATACAAAAATTAACTCAAGATGGATTAAAGAATTAAATATAAGATGTAAAATCATAAAATGCCTAGAAGAAAACTTAGTCAATACCATTCAGGACATAGTCATGGGCAAACACTTCATGACTAAAACACCAAAAGCAATGGCAACAAAAGCCAAAATTGACAAATGGGATCTAATTAAACTAAAGAGATTCTGCACAGCAAAAAAAAAAAAAAAAAAAAAAAAAAAAAAAAAAAAAATCATCAGAGTGAACAAGCAACCTACAGAATAGGAGAAAAATTTTGTAATCTATCCATCTGACAAAGGGCTAATATCCAGAATCTACAAAGAACTTAAACAAATTTACAAGAAAAAACAACCCCATCAAAAAGTGGACAAAGGATATTAACAGACCCTTCTCAGAAGAAGACATTTATGTGACAAACAAACATATGAAAAAAAAGCTCATCATCACTGGTCATTACAGCAATACAAGTCAAAATCACAATGAGATACCATCTCATGCCAGTTAGAATGGTGCTCATTGAAAAGTCAGAAAACAGCAGATGCTGGAGAGGATGTGGAGAAATAGGAACACTTTTATACTGTTAGTGGTAGTGTAAATTAGTTCAACCATTGTGGAAGACAGTGTGGTGATTCCTCAAGGATCTAGAACCAGAAATACCATTTGACCCAGCAATCCCATTACTAAGTATATATCCAAAGTATAATAAATCATTCCACTGTAAAGACATATGCACACATATGTTTATTACAGCACTATTCACAATAGAAAAGCCTTGGATTCAACCCAAATGCCCATCATTGATAGACTGGATAAAGAAAATGTGGCACATATATGCCATGGAATACTATGCAGCCATAAAAAAGGATGAGTTCATGTCCTTTCCAGGGACATGGATGAGGCTGGAAGCCATCTATCTCAGCAAAGTAACACAGGAACAGAAAATCAAATCCCACATGTTCTCAATCATAAGTGGGAGCTAAACAATGAGAACACATGGACACAAGGAGGCGAACATCACACACCAGGGCCTGTTGAGGGGTTGGGGGTAGGGGAGGGATAGCATTAGGAGAAATGCTTAATGTAGATGATGGGTTGATGGGTGCAGCAAACCACCATGGCCCGTGTAAATACCTATGTAACAAATCTGCATATTCTGCATATGTATCCCAGAATTTAAAGTAAAATAATAAAAAAAGAAATAAAAAACATGAAAAACTGAACAGAAATCCTGGACCTGTAGAATTTGGTGATGGAATTGAAATTTTAATAGGGATCTTCAAGAGCAGACTCAATGATGTAGAAGAAAGAATCAGTAAACTCAAAGACAGTTTATTTGACATTAGCCAATTCAAGGAACAAAAACAGGGAAAAAGGAGTAAAAATGAATGAAGAAACTACACTGCACCTATCAGACACCATTAAGAAAACAAATCTTTTCATTATGGTAATCCCAAAAGGAGAAGATAGAGATCAAAAATTCACTAAAAGAAATAATGGCTGAAAACTTCCCAAATCTTGGGAAAGATATGGGCATCCAAATTCATGGAGCTCCAAAATTCCCAAGCAATATCAATCCAAAGAAGTTAATCTGAGTGCACATTATAACCAAATTGTCAAAAATCAAGTACAGAGAGAATGTTATAAACAACAAGAGAAAAATGAATTGGCACATACAATAGAACCTTTATATGACTATATAACAGTAAGTTTCTGAGACGAAATCTTGCAAGTCACAGGGAGTGGAAT
Organism: Homo sapiens; assembly: GCF_000001405.40. Lineage (NCBI taxonomy): Eukaryota > Metazoa > Chordata > Mammalia > Primates > Hominidae > Homo > Homo sapiens. Next base: position 118,325,138 of record NC_000003.12, read on the forward strand.
GATATACTCAAACTTATGAAAAAAAAAAGAAAAATCTGTTAACCAAGAGTGCTATGCACAGCAAATATGTTCTTCAGAAATGAAGAAGAAACAATGTCATTCAGAGATATACAAAAGCTGAAAGTTCATAATTAGACATGACTAGACAATAACTAATAACATGAAACATATAAAAGTAGAAAAGTCTCTGGTGAAGGTAAATATACTTAACCTGGCAGTATTCTAATACTGCAATAGTAGTGCATAATTCACTTTACCTCTAGTACAAAAGTTAAAAGACGAAAGTATTAAAATAACTGTATTTACAATAATTTATTAATGGATAGATATATAGAAATATGTAAAATATGACAGGAGTATAAAATGCTGTGTGTGTGGTGGAAAACAACTGTAAGCATAGTTTTTATATGTGATTTAAGTTAAGTTGTCAACTTAAAATATACTTTTACAACCCTAAGATATTTTATATAAGCCTCATGGTAATAACAACAAAAAAAGCATTAGTATATATAAAGGAGACAAAAAGATGTCAAAGCATTCCACTACAAAAAAAATCACAAAGGAAAACAGAATGACAAAAAAACTATAAAAAGTCAGAAAACAATGAAAAATGGCAATAGTAAGTCCTCATATAGCACTAATTATTTAAATTTAAATGGATTAAATTCTTCAATCGAAATACACAGAGCATTCATATGCATAAAAATTAGGAACAGAAGATGCAACAATATGCTGCCTCCAAGAGAATCACTGTAAGAACACACATATGCTGAAAGAGAAGGGATGGAAAAAAGATATTCTATGCAAATGATAACCAAATGAGAGTAGGACTGGCTATATTTATATCACACAAAATAAAGTTTCTATGAAAATTTGTCATGAGAGACAAAGAACATAACTATAGAATGACAAAGGTATTAATTCATCAAGAGGATATGACACTTATATATGCATGCAACATGGCAGGGCACCTAAAATACAAAGTAAATATTAACATAATTGAAGAGAAAAATTGATGGCAGTACAATAATAATCAAAGACTTTATTATCCTACTTTCAACAATAAACAGACTCTCAAGACAAAAAATCAGAAAGACTGGACTTGAACTACAGTTTATACCAAATGAACCTAAGAGACATATATGAAACAATATACCCAACAACAGCAGAATACACATTATTCTTAAGCCTACATGGAACATTTTTCAAAATGGATTATATATTAGTCCACAAAATACATCTTAACAAATTCAAGAAGCTTGAAATTACATCAATTACATTTTTCTGAGCACAATGGTGTGAAATGAAAACCACTAATAGGAGAAAAATTGGAAAAGTCACAAATATGTGGAAATTAAACAACAGTTTCCTGAACAAACAATGGGTCAAAGATGAACTGAAAAGGAAAATCAAAAATATCTTAAGACAAATGAAAATGAAAACACGACATACCAAAACTAAAATGCAGCAATAATAGTTCTGAAAGGTAAATTTACAGAAATAAATGCTTACATTAAGAAAAAAGAAAGATCCCAAATAAACAACTTAAATTTTACACATCAATAAACTATTTAAAAAGCCCAAATTTAGCAGAAAGAAAAAAATAATTAAAAAAAGGCAGAAATAAATAAAATAGAGATTAGAAATTTAACATAAAACATAATCGTAATGAAAATTGGTTTCCAAATAGTAAAACAAAATGACAAAATTGAGAATTGGTTTTCAAAATGAAAAACAAAAAACAAAGCCTAAATTTAGTAGGAGGAAAAAAATAAAAATAAGAGCAGAAATAAATAGAGATTATAAATTTAATATAAAATATAAACATTACGATAATTGCTTTTCAAAAGAAAAACAAAACAGATTGAACAAGGAAAAAAGAGAGAATTCAAATAAATAAAAGTATGGATAAAAGAGGATGTATTCAACTGAGACCACGGCTATATAGATATACAGAGAAACATAAGAGACTTCCACGCACAGTTACACGCCAACAACTTGGATATTCTAGAAGAAATGGATACATATAGAAATATAAACCCTTCTAAGACTGAATCATGAAGAAACAAATTCTGAGCAGAACAATAATGAGTAAGCAAATTGAGGCAGTTATAAAAAACACATTGCAATAAAATAAAGCCTAGGACCAAACAGCTTCACAGGTGATTTCTACCAAACACCTAAAGAATTACTGTCAGTTCTTCTCAAACTATTCCAGAAAAGAAATTGAAGAGGAGAGAACACTTTCAAACTCATTTTACAAAGCAAGCATTACCCTGATATTAAACCAAACAAAGACACTATAAGAAAAGAAAACTATAGGACAACATCCATAATAAAAATATATGCAAAAATCCTCAACAAAATAATAGTAAACTGAATCTACCTACATATTAAAAGTATTATACTTCATGATTATGTGAGATTACCCCTGCAAGAATGGTCAGCATAAGCAAATCAATAAATGTGACACAGCACATTAACAGACTGAAGGATAAAAATCATATGATTATCTCAGTAGATGCTAAAAAGCATTAAAAATTTTTAATATCCTTTAATGATTAAAAGTCAACAAAATAGGTAAAGTGGAATACACTTTAACATAATAAAGGCCATAAATAACATTTCTGCAGCTAACATCATACTCAACAGTAAAGAATGGAAAGCTCTTCCTCTAAGATAACGAACAAGGCATGGATGCCCACTCTTGCTACTTCCATTCAACCCAAAACTGGATGTCCTAGTCGGAGCAATTATGCAAGAAAAACAAGTGAAAAAGCATTCATATCAAAAATAAAAAGAAACAAAAAGCATTCATATCAGAAATAAAGCAATACTGTCTTTTTGTAGATGATATGATTATATATATAATACATATACATATATACACACACACACACACACACACACACACACACACACATACTCTCCAGGATGGAGCGCAGCAGCATAATCATGGCTCACTGCAGCCTCAAACTCCTGGGGTCAAGCGATCCTCCCACCTCAACCACAGGTGCATGTCAACACAACTGGTTAATTTATTTTTATTTTTTTGTAGAGACAGAGTCACCCTATGTTGCCTAGGCTGGTCTCAAACTCCTGGGCTTAAGGAATTCTCCTCCCTCCACCTCCCAAAGTGCTGACATTACAGATGTGAGCCATCATGGCTTGCCTGATTGTATATATAGAAAACCCTAAAGACTCTACCAGAAAACTGTTAGAACTAATAAACAGATTCAGTAAAGTCTCAGGATACAAAATCAATGCAGGATATGAAAATCAGTTGCATTTCTATACACTAACAACAAATATTTTTTAAAAAAAGGCTAAGATAATAATTGCATTTATAATATCTTCAAAAATAATAAAACATTTAAAAATAAATGTAGCCAAGGAGTGGAAAGATTTGTACACCGAAAAGTATAAGACATTGATGAAATAAATTGAACAAGAAACAAACAAATGAAGTGATATACCATATTTATGGATTAGAACAATTAATATTGTCAAAATGTCCACCTTACCCAAAGTGATCTACAGGTTCAGTGCGATCTCTATCAAAATTCTCATGGCATTTTTCACACAAATAGAAAAAACAATCCTACAATTTGTATGAAATTAACCCATTTATGCCTGAGGTTGCAATTTTTTGAATTTTTGCAATCAGACCTTGGCAATGACATTCAGCAATAGGATATAAATAACTCCCACATACTTAGCATTCTAATAGTGGAATACTAGGCATAAATGGGTTAAAAAGTCCTTGAATAGCCAAGACAATCTTGAGAATGATAAAATAGCTGGGGAATTCACACATTCTGATTTCAAACAATATCACAGAGCTGAAGTAATCAAAACAGTATGGTACTGGCTAAAAACAGACACACAGATCTATAAAACAAAATAGAGCCAAGAAATATACTGACACAAATACAGTCAACTAGTCTTAAACAAGGTTGCCAAGAAAACACAATGGGAAGAGGTGTCTCTTCAATAAGTGGTCTTGGAAAAACTAGATATCCACGTGCTAAAAAATGAAATTGGAACCTTATTCTATACCATACACACAAATTAACCTGAAATAGATTGACTTAATCATAAGACCAGAAACTACAAAATTCCTAGAAGAAAATATAGGAAGCCTCTTTGACTTTGGTCTTGGCAGTGATTTCTTGGATATGATGCTAAAATCACAGATAACAAAAGAAAAAACAAACAAGTGGGCCTACAACAAACTAAATAGCTTCTGCACAGCAAAGGACCCAGTCAACAAAATAAAAAGCAACCCACAAAATAGAATAAAATACTTGCAAACTACATACCTGATAAGGGGTTGATATCCCAAATACATTAAAAAAACTCATACAAATCATAACAAAACAAAATTTTTAATAGCTCAATCAAAGAATTGGCAAAGGACATTTTCCCAAAGAAGACATACAAATTGCCAACAGACACAGGAAAATGAGTTCAATAACATCAGTTTTCATAAGGGAAATGCAAATCAAAAGAACAATAAAATGTCACTTCATACCTGTTATGATGGCTATTATTAAAAAGATAAGAGATAACAAATGTTGGCCAGGTTGTGGAAAAAATGTAGAATCCTTGTACATTTTTGGCTGTAATGTAAATTAGTATAGCCATTATGGAAAAAAGTATGGCTGTTTCTCAAAAAATTAAAAATTAAACTCCCATATGATCCAGCAGTCTCCATTCTGGGTATATATCCAAAGGGAGTGAAAGCCAGTATGTTGAAGAAATATCTGCACTCCCATGTTCATTGCACCATTATTCACAATAGCCAAAATGTGGAAACAACTTAAGTGTTTATTCATGGATAGATAGAGAAATTGTGAGATAGATATGTATGTGTGTTTGTGTGCATAATATTCAGCCATATTACAAAAAAGATATCCTGCTATTTGCAATAATATGGATGAGCCTAGAGGATACTATACTAAGTGAAATAAGTTAGACACAGAAAGACGAATACTGCCTGATTTCACTTACACATCAAATCTTACAAAGTCAAACTCACAGAAGCAGAGAGTAGAATGGTGGTTGCTAGGGGCTAGTAGATGGGAGAAATGAGAAGATGTTGGTAAAAGGATACAAACTTTCAGTTATAAGTATGACCTAGGAATCTAAGTAGAGCATGGGGTGGCTATAGTTAATATTGCTATTTTATATTCTTGAAATTCACTAAGACCATAGATCTTAATTGTTCTAACCACACACAAAAAAGGTAACTGTGTGAGGTAATAGATATGTTAATTAGCTTGACTATGGTATTTGTTTTACAATGTGTATATATATAAAATTATTCTTTGTATACTTTAAATGTATACAAATTTATTTGTCAATTATATTTCAACGAAGCTGGAAAAAGTAGAATTAAGACATTTTAGTCTACACATAAAAAGAAAACAAATATATAAAAGTGATAGTTATGTCAATAAAATTTAAAATATGCCCCATGTTTTAGTACTAATTCACATAAGCCATTTATTGGGTGGTGAAAAAGTAATTCCGGTTTTTGCCATTACTTTTGATAGCAAAAACCGCAATTGCTTTTGCACCAACCTATATATAGGCACTTTAACATATTGGGAAAGATTAACATAATTGAATACTAGATAATATTAAACAATCATGTAAAAATTGTAGTGTAATATTGACAATGCAGTTGTTATTTTTAAAGTTCATATCTGTTAGAAATACATGTTACAGTATTTATACATTAAATGATAAGATGTCTGTGATATGCTTCAATAATGACCAGCAATTTCAAGAGTGAAGGTGAGAAATGGATGAATAGATGGATGGTTTAGATAGATAAAGATAGATGGATAGACATATAGATGATAGATACATACATAGATAGATAGATGATAGGTTTTAATATGTGATAGTCATCTGCAGCAAGAATGTTCATATAGTCATCAGAAGCAAGAGTGGTAGAATGTTAATAATCACTGATTTTATGTGAAGTATATATGTAGATTCATTACATTATATTTTTTAACTTTTATATGTGTTTATATACAAACTTTGGAAGAGGGTTTTAAATCTATGTTTCAGTTTGTTTAAATAGTCAAGAAGAAAAATAGATACCGTTTCTTGTAAAATTGTTTCAGTAAAACTATTTATCAAAATAACAACTTTCTTATCTAATACTTTTTCATCACATATATCCAAAACAAAAATAAACAGCAAAAAAACACAACTCATCATAGCTTACACACATCACAAAACTAATACAAAAATGTGTTATCTAGAAGTTTTGCCATCCAGAAAACAGATTTCTGTTCTCACATATTGCCACTGGAGGCAAAGCTTCCAAATATAAATTTTGGTATTATTCAGTTTTGCTACATTAAGCTGTGAGACAAATAGCCTCTCAGAAAAGTTCAGTGGAATACAAAAACTGAGGTTTATTTCTTTCTCACATTACATGAAGGTGTCTGATCAATTGCAGTTATACTTAAGGCTGGGGTTGAGTTCAAATAGATTACACAAATCTTCATTCCAGGATCTAGTAAATGAAGCACCTCCTATTCAGAACATATTATTCTCATGGCTGAAGGCAAAACCACAAGGAAATGAATGGAATCACATGATGTTTTGTAAAATATTTGCTTGGTAATAGGATGGCACATTATCTCACATTGCACTAGTCAAAATAAGTCACATGGTGATATAGTTTGGCTTTGTGTCCCCACCCAAATCTCATCTTGAATTGTAATCCCCCAATGTTGAGGGAGAAACGGGGTGGGAGGTGATTGGATCATAGGGACAGTTTCCCCCATGCTGTTCTTATGATAGCAAGGGAGTTCTCATGAGATCTGATGGTTTTATAACTGTTTGTCAAGTTCTTCCTTCACTTGCTTCTCTCTCTCCTGCTGCCATGTGAAGAAGGCCCTTGTTTCCCCTTTGCCTTCTGCCATGAATGTAAGTTTCCTGAGGCCTCCCCAGCCATATGGAACTGTTAGTCAAGTAAACGTCTTTCATTTATAAATTACCCATTCCCAGGGAAGTTCTTCATAGCCACGTGAAAACAGACTAATACAATAAATTTGTACTGGGAGTTCGGGATACTACTATAAAGATACTTGAAAATGTGGAAGCGACTTTGGAACTGGGTAACAGGCAGAGGTTGGAACAGTTTGGAGGGCTCAGAAGAAGAAAGGAAGAGTGGGAAAATTTGAAACTTCCTAGAGACTTGTTGAAAAGCTTTGATGAAAATGTTGATAGTGATGTGAACAGTGAAGTCCAGGCTGAGGTGGTCTCAGATGGAGATGAAGAACCTGTTAGAAACCAGAGTAAAGGTCTCTCATGCTATGCTTTAGCAAAGAGACTGGCGGCATTTTGACCCTGTCCTAGAGATCTGTGGAACTTTGAACCTGAGAGAGATGATTTAGGGGACCTGGCAGAAGGAATTTCTAAGCAGCAAAGCATTCAAGATGTGACCTGGATTATTCTGAAAGCACTTAGTTTTATGCATGCACAAAGAGATGGTTTGGAATTGGAACTTATGTTTAAAAGGGAAGTAGAACAAAAAATTTGAAAAAGTTGCAGCCTGACAATATGTTAGAAAAGAAAAATCCATTTTCTGGGGAGAAATTCAAACCAGCTGAAAAATTTGCACATATAATAAGGAACCAAATGTTAATCAACAAGACAATGGGGAAAATGTCTCTAGATAATGTCAGAGATCTTGGCGGCAGCCCTTGTGATCACAGGCCCAGAGGTCTAGGAGGAAAAAATGGTTTAATGGGCAGGGCTCAGGGTCCCTGCTGCTCTATGCAGCCTCAGGACATGGCACCCTGCATCCCAGCCACACCAGCTTCAGTTTTGGCTGAAAGAGGCCAAAGTACAGCTCAGACCATTGCTTTAGAGGGTTCAAGCCCCAAGCCTTGGCAGCTTCCATGCGGTGTTGGGCCTCCAGGTGCACAGAAGTCAAGAATTGAGGTTTCGGAACCTCCGCCTAGATTTCAGTGGATGTATGGAAATGCCTGGATGTCCAGACAGAAGTCTGCTGCAGGGGCAGAACCCACATGTAGAACCTCAGCTAGGGCAGTGCAGAGGGGAAATGTGGGGTTGGAGCTCCATGCAAATCTGAAATCCAACAGGGCAGTCATTAGATCTTAAAGCTCTAACATTATCTCCTTTAACTCAGTGTCTCACATCCAGGTCACACAGATGCATGAGGTGAGCTCCCATTGTCTTGCGCAGCCCTGCCCCTGTGGCTGTGCAGGGTAGAGCCCCCCTCCTAGCTGCCTGGAAGTCACCACTTGGGGTACTGCCTACTGCAGCTGTGAGAAGATGGCCACCATCCTTCAGACCCCAGAATGGTAGATCCACCAACAGATTGCACCATGTACCTGGAAAAGCCAGATATTGCCAGTCTATGAAAGCAGCTGGGAGGGGGGCTCTACCCTGCACAGCCACAGGGGTGGAGCTGCCCAAGACCATGGGAGCCCACCACTTGCATCAGCATGACATAGGTGTGAGACATTGAGTTAAAGGAGATAATTTGGGAGCATTAAAATTTAACCACTGCCCTGTTGGATTTCGGACTTACATGGGGCCTGTAGCCCCTTTGTTTTGGCCAATTTCTCCTATGTGGAATGGGGACATTTATCCAATTCCTATACCCACATTGTATCTTGGAAGTAAATAACTTGTTTTTGATTTTACAGGCTCCTAGGCTGAAGGGACTTGCCTTGCTTCAGATGAGACTTTGGACTTGGACTTTTGAGTTAATGGTGAAGTGAGTTAAGACTTCGAGGGACTGTTGGGAAGGCATGATTGGTTTTGAAATGTGAGGACATGAGATTTGGGAAGAGCCAGGGGCCAAATGATATGGTTTGGCTGTGTACCCATCCAAACCTCATATTGAATTGTAACCCCCGGTGTTGAGAGAGAAACTCAGTGGGAGGTGATTGGATAATGGGGACAGTTTCCCCCATGCTCTTCTCATGATAGTGAGTGAGTTCTCACAAAATCTGATGGTTTTATAAGTGTTTGACAGGTTCCTCCTTTGCTTGCTTCTCTCTCTCCTGCTGCCATGTGAAGAAGGTCCTTGCTTTCCCTTCGCCTTCCTCCATGATTGTTAACTTTCCTGAGGCATCACCAGCCATGTGGAACTGTGAGTCAATTAAGCCACTTTTGTTCATAAATTACCCAATCTCAGGGAAGTTCTTTATAGCAGTGTGAAAACAGACTAATACACATGGTAAAGCCTCAGAATGTCATGGGGAAATGTATTTCACTCATATTCAGGGATGCTGTACAATAATACAATCTATCACAGAGAATTTTTCACAAAGAGCATCCCTCCCTCCATGTTTTGGCCCACTAAAATATTGTTAGTCAACATTCACCTGGACTTTTGAATGTTAAAGTGGTTGAGATTCACAGGCAGGCCTGGATCCTGTGGGCAAAAGCCTAGTTTAATGAGGGCTAAGCTGAGAAAATTACTGTGTCCACTGTCACAGGAATCTAGGGAACACATTTCACCTTTGACAACCCAATTTAGAGCTCCAATCAGCCCAGTGATTGGAGGCCTATTTAAGCCCCTGTGGTGACATTATCACAGGAAGCTTATCCATTCCCAGCTACTAGACCTGGACAGATCACTCTGTCTACACTAAAAGATTTCAGTAACTTGAATCTTGGGATGAAGGAAAGAACTTCTCAATTCGTTTCTTAACAGAAAGTCCCTAGAAACATTCAAAATGTTCCTCCAGGAGGACATCAGCCAGATGGCATAAGAGGACTTTCTAGCACTCATCCCTCACCCCAACCCCACCCCTGCAGACACATCAACTTGAATAACTATCCACATATAAAAGTACCTTCCAAGGAGCTAAGAAAATCGGGTGAGCAATCACACCACCTAATTGTATCACAAGAATAAGAAAAAGAATGCAAAAACAAGTGCCTCCCTCAGTAAAACCCAGCACAAGGCAGACCCACAGGGCTCCAGCCTTCAGGATGGTACCTGCAGATTAAGCCTGCAGGCTCACCTCAGCACCAGATTGGATCTTGCTACCCCCAGGCTCAAGATCGCCTGGTGGCTCAGTTTCCCTTGGACCTACCCCGACACCAGGCCACCCTCAGTGGCCCCAGGTTCTAGACCAACCTTAACACTAGGTCAGCACTACATCCCTAGTCATCAGGTCAGCACTCTTGGGTCCATGTGCCACACCTGCTCCAGATTTTGGACCAGCCCAGAGCCATTCCATGATGTATACATATTTTAAAACATCATATTGTACACAAAAAAATGTATACAACTTTCATTTGTCAATTTAAAAAAAATTAATGTTTTCCAACTTCAACACCCCCAATCATCCTTCATGCTGAATAAATATCTTCTTACACCTAAAAATTATACATCCTTCTCACTAAGCACTCTAAACCAGCAAAAACAAAGCAAAACTTCAACAGTAGTGGTGTAAAATATTAAATTCAAATTAAAAATTTAAAGAGAACAAACAGGGTTATTTTATATTAATAAAACATAGTCCTCAGGATAAAAAAGTACAGGATTTTATATGTCAGATTACATAGAATAGAAATACATAAAACAAAAACGTTGGAGAGATAGTTATTGTGGGAGATCTTGCTGCAAGTATCTCAGCTTTTGAAAGGGAGATCAGTGGGAAAAGGCAATCAAATATGTTGAGAAGTTGAAAATATAATTAAGAAATTTATAAGTTAGGTTTGATTTTTTAACCCTACAAACAGATTTTGGACTTTCTTTTCAATAACTCTTGAAACATTTGTAATTGCTAAGAACCCAAGCCCTCTTATTAAAAAAAAAAAAGTAAACAGATTTAATTCTTTAGCTGTTACAGAATTAAGTTAGAAACTAGTAAAAATGTTTCTTATACAATTCACGTACTTAGGAACTTTTAAATTCTCCCAATTTGCTGTTGAATCAAAGAGGAAAATTAAGCCATAAACTACTTAGAAACAGTAAAAATTAGAGCATTGTTGAAAATACAGTTTTGTGCAGATTATTATTCTCCAATGTTCATTCTCTCTTTCTTCCTATTGATTTAGAAGGTCACAAAGCTCAAGCCTATATTTTCCAATCTCCATGGTAAACATAATTAGCCATGTAATTATTATGGTCTAGCCAATGATATTTAGAGAAATTAATGGTGCAACTTCTAGGTTATCATCTTATAGATGAAGTCACTTACACTGGACTATTTCACTTTTTCTATTCTGTGGACTGGATCTGAGAATCGTGTTGTCTTGATTCTGACTATACAGATGAAGACAACATTATTAGAATGGCAGCACAAGAAAATTAAAGACATTTTAAGTTCCTGATTGATATTGTAAAACAGTGCTTCATAATAGCTTGGACTTATCTGTACTATTACATTGGAGAGAAATACATTACTACCTTGTTTGATCCATTGTATATTGAGATGATATCTGTTACAGTAAGTAAGCTTGCCTCCTCACTAGAAAAGCATGTGTCCCAAACTATTGTAGTTTCACAGTTTCAAATTTCCATATTAATAATTAATGAAAAAAATGGAAATAAGTTAAACATCTAATACAAGTAAACAGTATAAGAAATGTAAAAATAGAGTAGCTAAAAGAAAGATGAAGTCAGAAACTATTGAATTAGAAAAACAGAAAAGCAACAGAAATAGTAAACAAATAAGAGCTGACTTTATAAAGTAAAATAGGCAAACATTGCAAATCAAATTAATATAGGTTCACAGAAGCTTCTGTTAGGAGGGTTTTGTGAGAAAAATTCATAATTAAAAGAAAAACAAGGATATGGTAAGAAAGATTAGAAATCTAATGGATTCAGTAAAATGTGACTTATTACTCACTCAAAAGCCATGTTTCCAAAAAGAAGTGAAGCCCCTAGAGAGCAAGAAGTTCTGCAGTTTGTGTTCAAGAAGCTCTACTCTGCTCAGTAGCTTTCAAGGACAACTTAATACCTTGATAAAGCTACATGCAACCCGGGATGATGATCTGGAAATGTGTGCAGTGAACATACACTCTGATCTCTGATCATTTTAATTGATCTTATTTAGACTCACAGCTCAAAAACGTTTAACCATTCCAGTTTACAAACTGGGCGTCATCTGCAATTCATAGCAATGCTGGACCAGATTAAACCTCAGTGCATTCGACGACTTCAGACTGCATGGTCGTGCATAATAAAATCAGCATGAGAAGAGTTATTACTTTCTGACACTATAACCATCCCTTGTCATATATTTATTCTAAAGAGTCCCTTTACTCCTTTTGAATGGTTTATGTTTGTGATATATAAAGTGATTCTTAGAAGAGAGTCACTGGAACATAGTGAGCACTCAAAAAATAAACTCTGCTATTACTATATCCTCCTCTGGCACAGCTGAGATTGACTGTCACACAACAGAAACACAGCTTTATGCTACGAGCTTGTAGTCCATGGCAGAGCTTCATTCCATCCCAGGTAGAAGGGAGTTGATCAGTCAAATTTAGGAGCACAGAAGTTTTACTAGACATTTTCCCTGGTTATGGAGAAATATAGGAAACATTTTGATAAGAAAAGCATACTTGTAGGAACCCTCTAAAATTCCATCTTTTGTCTGAATTCAAATGTGTGGTAAGAAGAATTATCATAGCCACAGAAGGCCATAATGAGAACATCAACTACTTGGTGATGAAACCATAAAGCTTATGTCAGCATTTTGTGAAATTATGAGATTAATCTCCTATAAAAAAAGACAGGATAGGTAGATGGAAGAGAGACAGCAGATCCCCTTTTGACTTTAGCAAAGCTTTACTTTCTTTACTTCATTAGCATTATCAATTCAATGAGAAAATTATGGCATCAAACTGCCTAATTGGTAGTTGGAGGGTCATTCAGAATAAATTTCCTTCATAAGAATAATGTTACCCTGAGGGGACATAGCAAGCCATGTTCTGCCAGGGTGAATACAGGAACCAATTTTTTTAAAGTCATCGGTGTCCTCACTAATGGTATAAAAATGCTGCAGGTTGATAGAATTTTTTAGCAACATGCAGGTTAAAATGAGAATTCAAAATGATTTCAGCAATGAACATGGATTTCAACATGGATGGGTCAACGTTACTTTTTAAAAGGAAAAATTATATGGATATCAAGAAGAATCAATAGTTAAAGAGTAACAAAAAATGTTCCCTGGTTATAGAAGAAAATGAATTAATAAGCTGTACAGAGGTGAGCTTCAGCACAGTGTCCACAAGCCAGGCAATGAGCTGTGCATCCAAGGAGAACACAGGAGACTCAGGTATGCCCTTAAAGGATATGGCAAATGTGAAATGTGGAGGTGGCTATAAAAATAAAATAGTCCTTAAAGATGCTTCTCTATAAGAAATACATTTTCCATGCATACAAAATAGCCCACTTTAAATATGATTCAGTAGTCATCTGGGCCCCTCAGTTTAGCCCAAACTGACCTCTTAGTATTAAGATGTATTATGTGATGATAGAGCTATTCTTTTGATTTTGACAGAAATAATAATTTAAAGCAGCATTTCTCTTCCCGTCAGTTTAGGTGAGTTGAACTGCTGTGCTGAGAGGGAGAAACTAGGAGAGGTGGCCCACGAGATTTTTATTGATACGCTTTCCTGACATCCTCATACAAAAATATGCAAAACAACAGAATCCTACAGCAGTTATAACATTGATTGGAAATATTAGAAGTTTCACTGCTCTCAGAAGATTTTTGTAGGGGAAGGTGAGCAATATAGCACCATATTTGCTATAAAACTTATTTGTTGCCCCAAATTCTTTGACAGCTTAAAATTTTTTTCTCAAAGTTCAGCAGTAGCAATCTCTTGATTGCTTTTGTTTTTCCAACATGTCCTCAAAAATTATATAAGCAAAACTTTATCCCTGTGAATGAAGGATCATGGAGTTGAATCAGGGGAGCTTAAGACTGTCTTTGCAGTCAAGGAACTTGCAGTTTAGAGACATGAATGCATAAAAGGCTAACAGTACTTGTCTGTTTTTGATGGGATCCAAATAAATAATTTTTAGGATCATAATCTTAGAAAGAAGGTATCTGGGCTTTTAAATACGTAGAGGAATGATGGAAAGAATTGGAAAAATAATTGAATAAGTAAGACCAAAAATAAGTTGTGTTACTACCAGAGTTATTATTAATAGAATAATCATTCTGGAGAAACCATGCATGTTAGGGAGCAGTGTAAGGCTTCATAAAGAAGGTGGACTCAGAATAAGAAAGGTTTTGAGTGACAAATAAAACAATTTGAACTCAATTTTGTAAATAATGTGGAGGTTTTGAAAGCCCTTGACCTGGATAGGATGAAATACACATTTTGAGGTCAATGTATTTGTGGTGAGAAGGCAGGACCAGCAGAAAAGGAAAGAGTGGGTAGGTCATTGCCATAGTAGAGACATGAAGTGTTGTGAAACATGGGGAGGAAGGGCAGGGCAGGGAAGATGACAGTCGAAAGAATGGTTATGAGAGGGAATCTGAAGTAAATGTGGATAGACAGGACTGTAAGGACCAAAGCACCAAGGTTTATATGTGGGGTAACAGAAACAACTTTGAAACTTCACAAAAATAGAAAAGCAAAAGAGAAACTGATTTCAGAAAGATTAATCAATGTATTTGAGGAAATAAAATTTAAAAAGCCAGAAAGTTCTTCAAGTAAAAATGCCTTACCAGATCTTTCTTTTTTCCTTCCCTTTAGGTAATGATTCCATCTTTTTCATTGGTGTTATACCCTTGCCTCTCTACTAGTTTATTCTTTCTGAGTAACTTACCAAGACACACACCTTCACTACCCTATTTATGCTGGTGCTTCCTAAAAATCTATCCCTACCTCCAATCTCTCTCCTAATCTCAAGACTAATTGTGTTAACTTTTACTAAATACTTCCACCTGCTTGACCAAAAGCCCACATATCCAAGATTGACTTTATTTTTCCATCCAATCCTGCTCCTTTCATAGGCTCTTTTTCTTAGTTAGCATCACCATCTATTGTGTCCAAACTGAAAATTCTTGACATCTCCTTCCATTGTTCAACAACTACCACTTGTCCCTGGAAATTCTAAACATTCTTATTAGTTTTCAAAATCTTATAGCTACCATAAAAAAGTTCTCTTATAATTATTTTCTTCATTCTACCATTATCATTTTTCCTGGGATTTTGTAGCAGATACAATATTTTAGATTATGACTTTATTACTTTTTTTCAAACTATCTCTTTGCAATGTGACTATGTCATTCAGTTATAGTAATTATTTTCTCAAAAACTGAAAGAGAGCCATAAAACCTAACACAAATGTCTTCAAACCTGACTCCATGCTACTTCTCCATCCACTTCCAGCAAGAGCTCAGTGTTCTGGCCACCTTGGGTTCTTCACTGATATTCAATACACCAGGTACTTCAGTACACATGTGTTTTACCCATGCTTTCCTTCCATTCTATAAGGCTCGTTTCCACTCTTATTTACCTCTTTAATTCCTACTCACTCCTCAAGACCTGACTTAAAGATCATATTTTTTAGCCAAGCCCCTTGACACAAGTTGTCAGAATTAAAATTCTTATTGCCTTCTAGCAATAATTTTGCCACTCATCATATTGCATCATGGCTATTTGTGGAGACACCTGGTTTGACCACCACAATCCTTTTCAGGTTTTATTCATCTTGAAATTTACAGCAGCCAGCACAGTGTCAAGCATGAATGAGGATTTCTGTTTACTGATATCAGCTTATTTGAATTAAGCTCACTTTAACTGAAGACATCTGTGAGAAGTGGGGAAAAAAGGTACTGAAACTCAGAGAAAGGACAAAGAAATTAGAACATGCTTCTTTTCCAAGTTTCTTGGAGAGGGTTAACTTATAGAGGATGATGACACAGAGAAGGTAGGAAGAAAAAAAAATAGAAGTGAAGCCGTTAGTGAAGCATAAAAAGTACAGGGAAAGAAAATGGTACTGAAAGCAGTCCATTGGAAACAAGCCTCAGAAGAAAGGTTTAGAGCCTTGTTTCATTATTGCCAAGTTCTATGGGTCAGGCTGGCTGCTTTAAAGGATAATTTTCTCCTCCCTCTCACATGAAGATATGTAAATGGCATCCAGATGTTTTAGGATGATCATTCTTTTAATAATTTTCTTAATGAAATATTTTAGAGATTGTAAATAACATAAATATACTTTCCATTTGTTCATTTGTTTACTGAATCAGCTGTTAATTCAAGTATAGTGTAACGAGTAGCATTGTATTTGTACCATATTTGCCTGCTGATGGTTTGTATTCATTTACTAATAAATTGGTCTTTTATCAAATTGATTATATCTCTGTCCCATTAAAATCTGGATAAGTAGATATAAGTTGCTTTCCCAGTTTAAATCTTTACCCTCATTGTTTTTATTATCTACACAATAGTATATGTGCAGCAAACCAAATATGGGTTGAAAAAATGGTCTACTGATTTTCCTAATTTGCCCTCTCTTCATACTCTCAAATTTTTATGGGACCTAATTAGCATTAACAATTATAATTCCAGTTGCTAGGTAAGTGTCAGAAATGATAGCCTAGGACAAACCAAGTATATTATCTGACTTTGACACAGACATATATTCAGTTATTCCTCATAAAATCAACTTTAAAATCCTGTAGATATGATTTTATACTCCTCACTTATTTTAGTAACCAAGTATGTTCTGTAATCTCAGGTTGTTTCTAATTGTTATAATTTTAAAAGGAGCTCATATGTTATCCAGCCTTCAAATCACTTCTCACTGGTCTTCAAATGAAGAAATAGTGGCTTCTGTTATGACTTATTTGATCCTCCCACAAAAAAATGACCCTTTCTGAAAGATATAAAGCATATCCTAAATACCTAGGTGAAATCTACCAGCCAATCTGTCAATATTCTCTTCTTGAAAAATTCTGGAGCAACACCACCCTGCTTTGTCTCTTGCAGAAATCTTACCTCTTCAAACGTTGGTAATGAGTTGTAGAATTATAATTACAATAGACTCATCTAATTTTCCTTTTTTCTTGCTCTTTCTGCTTGGAATGCCCTTTTCCTTTTGTTTAAGTATTCATCTTTAAAAGCTCTCCTCTTAATCCAGTATATATCACTGCGCAAAGAAGAACAAATAGACAAACAATTGAATGAGCAACTGAAGTGATATCATACGTAATTTGATGCCAAACTCGAGTAATTTCATGTTTTTATATAGATGTGGTTTTGACTATGTCTTCATTTACTTCTTACAGGCTCTACCATGATTTTAGTATCTAGTGAGGAAATTATTCCAATGCCAGTACTCATGATAATCAGTACCACATTTTATATACTACATTGAAAGACCACCCTGAAGGAGCTTAAAATTCAGCAATTGCAAAATCAAATCTTTTTCGCTTTTTTATTGAATATCATCCACATAAATTCTAGATATCTTAGAGATATTATAAATTAATTTCAGTTCACCCATGCACACATTTTAATCAGAAGTCAAATCATGTTAATTTTATTTTTTATTTCTTCATTTTTATTTTTTAAGTTGTAATAAAAGATGAGGTTGTAAGATGATTTCATAACACTGCCTTTTGGTTTCTCACCATTTTATTTCCACTTCCCTCTCTGAACAGTCATTAAATGCTAATTTGGAATATATTTTTCTGGATTATTTTCAGTGCATTTACAAATGTGCCCATCTGCATACGCACAGTCTTAGTTTAATAAATATGATCCTATTATATATATATTTCTTTGACTTTTTTCACATAACAATATATCATAGCAGTATCTCCATGGCACTATGAATACATTTATCACCTTTGTAACAGCTACATAGTAATAAATAATCTATATCTACCATCAATTATTTAACTTTACCCTTATTAATGAGCATTTAGTGCACCTCCATTTGTTTTTTTTTTTTTTTTTGCTGCTTACAACAATGACAAAATGAATATCCTTGTATATAACTTTGTGCCTAATGTAAATATTTCTCTAGCACAAAGTTTAAATGTAAAGTTGCTTGGTCAAAGGTCATGTGTGTTTTACATTCTCCTAGAATCTAGAAAATTGCCTTTCAAAACCACTTGTGTCAATTTACATTTCCACCAACATTGGAGGATGTATTACCTGTTTCTTCACAAATATATCAAAACAGAAAATTTTTAATTTTTCAAAATTATTTTTGTGTGATGGACATAAAAAATGCTATTGTATTTTGATTTAATTTGCAATTCTGTAATTTTTCGTATAGTTGAACATTTTTCACAAAGCTTATTACCCACTTGTAATTCTGTATATATTTGCCCATATCTTGGTTTATTTGTCTTTCTATTACTATATTAGAGCTCCTTATGAACCCATTGTATATATTTGCCCATATCTTGGTTTATTTGTCTTTCTATTACTATATTAGAGCTCCTTATGAACCCATTGTATTATAGATGTTGCAAGAAAATAAAAACTCATCAAAATACAATAACAAAAACAACAATGTAATAATTCCATTGGGTAAAAGCCAGTTTTATTAAGTGACCAGATGAGTCAGTATACCTGGCCTGCCAAGAATTTGAGGTTTGGTGGTACACTTCAAGCTTGTCTAGGTCCTGGCTGCAGTTTGTTGCCATTTGATGTCTATTTTCTGATATGATTCACAAACTCAAAGGGAATATTCTGGGACCTGTGGCTAGCTAAGATTTGTAGGACAATGACAGCAATTTCAGAAGTCTTCTACCTGATTAGAACTAGTTACATCATCGTGCTCATGAGAGGCTGAGCTGAGAGACTATAAGTGAAACAAAATACTGAGTGACCCAGCCTCTGTGTATCATTTCCTGAGACGGAAGTTTCTACTTTTCTGCCTAGTTACGCTGTTCTCTATATGTACACCTCCTTCTTCTTGCAGATGCTATAAAGACTGTTGCATAAAACTATTTGAAAACAGAACAAGCAGAAAACAGAAGCCAACATTCTGTGTTTTACCAAAATTCATCTCATCACAACTTCTGTAACCATAGGATTCTGCTGTATTTTTCCCATTTATTCATTTATCTGTCGATAGACATTTGGGTTGTTTCCAGCTTTTAGCTATTACAAATAAAGCTGCTATAAACAGATACATACATTCTTTCTGTAGACATTTGCTTTAAGTTGTCTTTGGGGAATACCTAAGATTGGAATCATGTAATTAAGACTGCCAAATTGCTTTCCAAAGTTGTACTAGTTTACATTTCACCAGTAGCGTATGAGAGTTCCAGTTTGTCCATATCTTGGCACATGGTTTTTTCTTGTTTTTTCTTTTTTTTTTTTTTTGATATTTTGCTGGTTTGTTTTTAATTTTAGCCATTCTAGTGGTTCAAATTGTATCACATTGCAATTTTAGTCAGCACTTCCTTAATAACTAATGATTAGCTTCTTTTCATATGCTTATTTGCCATTTATATATCTTCTTCTATTACATGAATATTAATAACATTTTTAAATATTTAAATTTTATAAATACATCTAATTTATAAAAATGTGTTTGTTAGTTTTCTATTGTTTTAAGATTTCTTGGCCAGGCACGGTGGCTTATGCCTGTAATTCCAGCACTTTGGGAGGCTGAGGCGGGTGGATCATGAGGTCAGGAGATCGAGACCATCCTGGCTAACATGGTGAAACCCCATCTCTACTAAAAATACAAAAAATTAGCCAGGCGCGGTGGCGAGTGCCTGTAGTCCCAGCTACTCAGGAGGCTGAGGCAGGAGAATGGTGTGAACTCAGGAGGTGGAGCTTGCAGTGAGCCGAGATCACGCCACTGCACTCCAGCCTGGGCAACAGAGCCGAACTCTGTTTCAAAAAAAAAAAAAAAAGATTTCTTTATACATTTTACAAACAAATTCTTTTTAGGGTATAGATCTGCAAATATTTTACCACAATTTATAGCATGTCTTTTCATTCTCTTAACATTGCCTGTTAAAGGACAGATATTAATTTTGGTTGAGTTCAATTTATCAATTTGTTCTTTTATGGATTTTGCTTTTGATGTCATACCTATGTTTAATTAACAGGGTCACAAAGATTTTCCCCTATGTTCTCTTCTACAAGTTATACAGTTTTAAGTTTCACATTATTGAGGATTTATATTTTGCATTAATTTTGTATATGTCATGAGGTATGGATAGAGATTCATCATTTTATGTTTGGATAGCCAATTGTTTCCACATGATTTTTTGAGAAAACTATTCTTTTTATATTGAATAGCCCTTGTGCCTTTATTGAAAACCTGTTGAGCATATAAATATGGGTCTTTTGGATTTTTACCTACACTGTAATTTTTATTTTGAGACAGGGTCTTGCTCTGCTGCCAGGATGGAATGCAGTGGCATGATCACTGCTCACTATAGCCTCAAATTCCAAAGTTCAAGAAATTCTCCTGCTTCAGCCTCCCAAATAACTAGGACTACAGATGCTAGTCACTATGCCTGGTTAATTTTTTTTTCTTTTTTTTTTTTTTTTTTTAGAGACAGGTTCTTGCTATATTACCCAGGCTGGTCTTAACAATACTTATTATAAAGCTGCTAAGGTAACTAATGGCGTGTGGCTTTGGTGCAAAGATAGACACATACATCAACAAAACAGAATTCTGAGTCCACACTGTGGGAGGCTGTGGCAGGAATATTGCTTGAGGACAGGAATTTAAGTCTATTTTGCTTTTGTTGCCTGTGCTTTTGAGATCATACCCCAAAAATCATTGCTGAGACCAATGTCACTGAGCTTTTCCCCTGTGTTTTCTTCTAGTAGTATCATAGCTTCAAGCCTTACATTTTCTTAATCCATTTTGAGTTTATTTTTGTATATGGTGTGAGATAAGGTTCTAATTCCATTTTTTTTTTCTCTGTGTGAATATCCAGTTCTCTCAGCGCCATTTATTGAAGAGACTGTCCTTTCCTTAGTGTGTGTTTTTTGGCACATTTGTCAAAAATCAGTTGGCTGCAAATATGTAAATTATTTCTGGGCTCTCTATTCTGTTCCAATGATCTGCATGTCTCTTTTTATGGCAGTGCCATGCTGTTTTGGTTACTGTAGTTCTGAAGTCAGGTAGTATCATAATGCATCCAGCTTTGTTCATTTTGCTCAAGATTGCTTTTGCTGTCTGTGCTCTTCTGTGGTTTCATACATATTTTAGGATTGTTTTTTCTACTTTTGTAAAGAATGTCATTGGTATGTTCATAGGAATTCCATTGAATCTGCAGATCACTTTCAGTAGTATAGTCATTTTATCAGTGTTAATTCTTCCAAGCCATTAACATGAACTATTTCTCCATTTATATGTGTCTTCTTCAATATTTTCATCAATGTTTTATATCAGGGGTGTCCAATCTTTTGGCTTCCCTGGGCCACATTGCAGGAATAATTGTCTTGGGCCACACACAAAATACACTAACACTAAGGATAGCCGATGAGCTAAAAAAAAAAAAAAAAAAATCAGAAAGAAATCTCATGTTTTAAGAAAGTTTGCAAATTTGTCCACATTCAAAGCTATCCTGGTCGGTATGCAGCCCATGGGGTATGTGTTGGACAAGCTTGTTTTATAGTTTTTAGTGTAGCAATCTTTTATCTCCTTGGTTACATTTATTTCTATTGGTTACATTTATTTCTAAGTATTTTTATTTGTAGCTATCATAAATGGAATTGTTTTCTTGATTTCTTTTTCAGATAGTTCATTGTTAGTGTATACATTACTACTGATTTTTTGTATGTTGAGTTTGTATCCTGCAACTTTAGCTAAATTTGTTCATTAGTTCTAACATTTTTGGTGGACTTTTAGGGATTTCTATATATTGTATTCTAAATATAATCCTATATATTGGATTCAAAATATAATCCAATATATAGAAAGCCCTAATTCAATTTTATATACTAGATTATACATAGGAATTCCATTGAACCTGCAGATCACTTTGCAGATTCAGTGGAATTCCTATATATAACCAATCTTAGATAACTTTACTACCTCAGTCAAGGGTTTACAGGTGATCGATACCACTATATTTTACCCCTCCTCCCCCACAAGAAAAGATTTAATATAGAGAATTGGATGCTTAGAAAATTGTAGCAAGGACCAGAGAAGCACAATATAGGCTGCACTTCCAGTAGTGACACCCAAAATAGCATTTTGGAACCCAGAAACTGAATGTTGGAATATCAAAAAGTCCCTGTTCAAGTGCTCACCCCAAGACTACACTTTAGCCATCACCCAGGTATCTGGAAGCTCCTCCATAGCTGTTGATTCTAGGACCACACTTTGTTAGCCTTCAAGATGGAAATTCCAAATGGAATGTAACTGTCAACAGTTGCAAACTACCTAGGATCAAACCACTGAGATGCTGCTACAGCCACCCTAGAAAACAAAATGCTTTTCCAACTCTGGTTGCCAGCAACAACAGAAGCACATTCTCTGCCTCATTTTCAGTTCCAAATATCTCCTGTGAATGTCTGCTTATAGAAGTTGGATCACATGTGGAACATAAGCAGAAAGGGTGTCTGGTAAATGTAATCTTAGGATTTACAGCTTTTAGCATCCAATAAGTCATGCTACAAAAGTTTGAAATAATGTTTAGAAAACTACAATTTGTCATTCTTTATTAATTATGTTAAATTATCATAATATGTCTAAATATTTGGAAGATTTTCTATGTAGAACATACCAACCAAAAATAAAAACACCTTTGTTTCACCAGTTCTTATTCCTTTTAATCCTTTTCTTATCTTATTTACAGGCTAAGACCTTCAATAAATCCTGACTGTAATTGAAATGGCTTTAATGTAAGACAAAAAAAATAGCCTGTTTGCTGTAGGCTTCTGGTAAATTATCTTTATCAAATTAAGAATGTTTACTTATACTCCACATTTACTATGAGGTGTTTTTTTTTTCTCTGTTTGTTTTACAAACAGGAATAAATGTTGAATTTTATCTAATTTTCTGATAGAGTCAAGATAATTGCATGTTTTATCTCCTTAATCTATGAAAGCAGTGAATTTTACTAATAGTTTTGCTAATGGTGAACAATTTCTACATTCCTGTCTATTCTGTCTTTATGAAGCCTCTTATCTGTCCTTTCCATGCTACACTTGATGCTCCTGCATTAGGTCATATTCTCATTATCTTTCACCTACACTACTGCAATAGCCTTCTAATTGGTTTTTCAGTCGTAAGTGTGGTTTCTGCAATTGCATTATTTACATTTAAACTAGAAGTCTCTTTCTCATTGCATAATCTCACTCTGGCTCTCAAAATCCTTTAGTGACTCTCCATGACCTAGGAAGGAAGATTAAAATTAGGAATTAATTATATTCTAAGCTATAATTACATCAGCACTTTATTAGTATTGCTATTGTTGTGTAAGTTTACCATGAATTGGTCATAAGAAGCCACTGGAGAATCCATAAAACATCCCAAACATGGTCATGTCTCTGAGTCTTTCATCTAGCTCAGCATTTCCCCAAGTATGTCTTAGAGAACACTAGTCCCAAGAGTTACTTTTGAAAATAATGGTTTCAAAATCAAATAAATTATGAAAATGATGATTTCACTATGCTGGTCTCAAAAATTCATGTTATATATCAGAATAAGAAACACTGTGTAAAATCTTATAATAAATACAGTAAGGACACTCTTAGCTTAGCACTCTCTAAACATATTTATATACAAAATCTTTCATTTAGCAAAGTTCCTATGGAATACACTTTATCGGAAAAACAAAATGCTCCAAACGTTTTTCTCATTGTAGATTGTGCTTCCTCTCTTTACCATCCATCAAATTCTACTCATCCTTCAGGATTTACTCTGTGAGTCTCTCTGGATAAAACCCATCTTCACGTTAGAATTCATTCTCTAAATTCCCACAGCATATCTTTATACCCTTTTTAAACTGCCTACTTTATCCTTCCCTAAAATAAATTTTAGTTCTTTGGAATTTCCATTTCATTTCAGAAAATAGTTGGCATATAATAGTTGCTTAATAGGCATTGTATTTTTTCAACCCATTTAAGTTCTTCTCCATTTTATGGACTTGGGCATTTTATATTTTATATCTGTATTTTATATTTGTATTTGTATTTATATTTGCATTTTATATTTATATCTAAAATTGTATTAGATATTATTAAAGGCACAGAATACATTTGAGAAGTGGCTCTGACCATGAAGAATGTATTATTTTGGAGAAAGTACAGTCTTATTTGAAGACATTAGGTAAACATATATTAATAAAAATACAAAAATACAAACTATAACATAAGTTGCATAGTCTTTCGTCCTTTAGGACATCAGAGAGAGGAGATTTCATTGCAATTTTGCCTAAACAGATCAGGCAGCGTGAAAGGTGGGACTTTAGAGTGCTCTGACCAGAGGGCGTGAGCCCAAGGAAAACATTCTCAGTGCCATGAAAGGAACCCAGACACTCTGTTCTCCTTACACCCACATCCTGTTTGGATCTCATTAGTATCTACTGGGCTTCATTCAAACATTCTGACCAACACATGCTGTTCCCCTTGTTCCATTTTCCCCCACTGAATTTTCAATAAGTTATCAGAAATACGGTTTAATAAGAGAACCAATCATGCTAGAGAACAAATGGATGTATAAGAATTTTACTTGATTACAGAAGCCTAGGTTAGGAGAATTCAAATGCATCCATGCATATAGATAAAAGGTACCCTACGCCATTGGCGATCCCAGTAAACGAAACCTAGAAATGAAGGGAAATCTTTCTTTTCTTTTCTTTTCTTTTTTTTTTTTTTTTTTTTGAGACGGAGTCTCGCTCTGTCGCCCAGGCTGGAGTGCAGTGGCTCAATCTCGGCTCACTGCAAGCTCCGCCTCCCCATCTCGCACCATTCTCCTGCCTCAGCCTCCGCAGTAGCTGGGACTACAGGCGCCCGCCACCACGCCCATCTAATTTTTTATATTTTTAGTAGAGACGGGGTTTCACTGTGTTAGCCAGGATGGTCTCGATCTCCTGACCTCGTGATCCGCCTGCCTCGGCCTCCCAAAGTGCTGGGATTACAGGTGTGAGCCACTGTGCCTGGCCAGGGAAATCTTTCTTAATCCTTGATCATCTTGAAGTGACCCTGGAGATTACTTGACAAAAACAAGGGCTATTTATAATGATAAAAGTATGTTCCACAGACAGCTTACGGATGTTCAAATCTAGGAAACAGTGCATTGGGGCGTATAGGGGACAGAATTCAGAAATGAGCACGATAAATTACCACTTGGGATAGTGATTACCGCAAGATTTATGTTCTTCCAGGACATTAGCAGCTAAGCCTTATTTGTAAGAAGACCAAAGCAAAATATAAGAAGAAATTTTTCTTCTTGTATTTTGTGTAGATGTGTAGCAATATGGTGAAAATGGAAGGAGAGAACCTTAGAGTTAATTGCAAAGTGTTCAGCAAGTCCTGTGTCATATGACTTCTCCCTGGTATTTTGGTCTCTTGCTCTCATTCCCATTGCTACAAATTGTCCAACCTACACTCTATCTTTCCCACACCCCTCCCTTCATCATTCTCTGTAGTCCTGGTCTATGTTACCCAGGAAGCAATGCCAGAAGTATAGGGCAGAGTGGAGGATACTCTCATCACCACATGCTGTCTTTGTTACTCATTCATTCATTCATTCATCATTCCAACAAATAATTGACAAAATTTATTTTTACTATTATATGTATAGGCATTGAAACACAAAAGAAGCAACATCTAAACTGAGCCATCTAGGAGGATGAGAAAGAAGCCAAGTGTGGAAGTCAAAGCAACTCCATCTCAGAAGCTAATCTGCCATGTTGACTTCTGATCAGCCTTGGTTCCAGGATTTCCAGTTTATCTATTTTTCCTTGTTTAAGAGAATGTAATTAAGATAAATCCTGCCTTGATAGCAGATCAACCTTAATAAACTCAACTTTACCATAAATCTTGCCCTTGGGACAATTCCTACCTATTCCCTTGATACACAAGTGCCCCTCCCCTGTGGTGTATATTCCCTGAATCTATGGGGTAATGGTGCATGGATCCACCATTTTGTCTCAACACCACCAGAGACACAGACTTCTGTTTATAAGCACCTATTAAATGTTTATTTCATAAGCACCTATTAAATGTTTCTTTCTAAGAAACTAGATCTGTCAGCCTTTTTCTTCAACCTCTCAGCTTCCTCAGATTTTGGAATAGGTTTGCATAGAACTGCCCCCTGTGAAATACTAAGTATTGGTGTTTCAAAAGGTTGGGGAGAGTGTTCCAGATAGAGAAAATCACATGTGCAAAGGCCTATCCAGGAGACAAAGCACAATAGGCTTGAAAAAGCAAAAGTCTGTTACTCTGGAGTATGGAGTTCAAAACGGCTGAGGGTCAGAACAGAAAACAGTGGCCAAATGATGCTGGGCTTTCTAAACCACAATAAAGCATGTGGAAGTAGGAAGCATTTCAAGAGCTTAAACACAAGTTTCTTGCATCATCTGCCCTGTTTGTTTTGCATATAGGAAAAAGCATATGTGTACCTGCTTTAGAATTTCTGAGGTAGGAACTAGGCTTCCACAGGAGGAGAGATTTAATTTACAAAGACTTAGCAGGCACCAAAAATCTTTCCTTGTTTTGTTATTGTAGATAAAAATAAAGATATTTCAAGAAATATGAAAATAAATGCAATTCTTACTTTTTAATATCTCTTGTATTTCTAAGGTAATTTTGTTAATGTAGAAGCGTAAAAATGTATTAGATCTACTTGTTTGTTCATAAAATGTTCATGTATTATATATTAAAATATTGTGTACTCAGACAATTACAAATTTACTAGAATTTTCTTAAAATGTGGTAAATTAAACTACAAGCTGCTAAACTGTAAGAAATATGTTCTCATTCTTGCCAGTTTATAAGAAATAGGCAAAATTGTGAAAACAAGAAATCATCAATATTAAACTATGACAAAGAAAGTTATTATATTTTCTTGAATTAGTGTGTTCTAGTACAATGTCAAGCACATACAGAAAGCATTTATTTTCAGGAAAGGAACTTGGGAACAAAGGAAATAAAAATATTGATGAAATATTTTTGTCATGTGAGACTTCAGTAATCAATCTCTGGGCCATCTCTCTAAGCATCTTTTGCTTCACCTGATGCTTTATTTTGAAAACTAAATAAATTTCCATTGCAGAAAAAGAACCAATTTTAGGGCCAGAGATCTGAGTTCTAGAATCATGTGACCTAGAACAAGTCACTTCATTTCTCTGGAATATACCCAGTTTTCTGAGGTATTTTCCAGCTCTACTGAAATAATGTGGAATGTGACCATAAAGGTGTTTGACCCACAAGTGTACATGTCCCTGTGTGGGAAGGGTGTAATTAGGAGCAGAAATGGCTGGATGAGGTGGATCAGAAAGAAAATACTTTTCATGAAGCTGGAATACACACTTGCTTGTGGGGAATGAGGGGAGATGTAGGAAGAGCAATAGGAAAAGGAGTGAAAGAGAGGGAGTAACAAGAGGAAAAAGTTATTTTCCACTCAGGAATCCTGTGGGCATTCTGTTTGTTGTCTTTCCCCCTCCTAATTGGGGGAGCACAAAACATAGTCGAGCATCTCTTTGGGGTTAGAATTTGAATGTTAGAAAAGAAAAGGACTCTTTCATCTTAATGAAGAAATCAGCAATATAAAAGTGGAATTTGACATCTTCATATATCAGCTTCTAAATCAATGTTGATGTAGCTTTCATATATTCTTTAAAAATATTAATATTACTCTTCAAAGTGCTTGAATAGTACAGTTTAGAAAACAGTAACAACTGTTCTGGTTAAATGATAGCCATTTCCAAAGGTAACATAAATCAAATAAACCTGAACAATCACAAGAATATTGATCTGACCTGTTAGAGTTATAAACAGTGCCATAATTGTACATTGTTATTGCTTCCACTTTGTTCTTAATAAGTGCATGTCTACAAAGGGAATAGGTTCATTCACTGACTACAAAAGAAAAATAGTTTTAGATAGATAAGAGCATACAGTAGAGAATGAATGGAGCTAATTCCAACCAATGTGGTGCTGAAAGGGTTCTTGTGTAGTAAAGAATTTAATCTTCCTCCAAAGAGGTCTGGCCTTTCTTCTTCTGAGTCTGGGAGGTGATCTCGGAGATATCAAACCTCATAGGAGTATCTTTGTTTGCCTGGATTATGTTACCTTTTGAAACAGGATCCTTTCAATCAGGATGGATAGTCTAATGATGTAAATTAGAGTAGAAGCTACCCATACTTTACAGTCTTAGAGTGGGAGTTTACCACTCCGTATAGAGCAACCATATTATTTA
Organism: Homo sapiens; assembly: GCF_000001405.40. Lineage (NCBI taxonomy): Eukaryota > Metazoa > Chordata > Mammalia > Primates > Hominidae > Homo > Homo sapiens. The sequence goes on from NC_000003.12 coordinate 118,353,489, forward strand.
GGATTGGGGCTTTGGGTCACACTTGAGAGATCTGGTCAATCGATTAATCATGTTTGTGTAAAGAATCCCCTATAAAACTCTGAACACCAAGGTTGGGATAAATTTTTCTGGTTGGCAATGCCAGGAGACTATTATATTCTCACTGTGGGGAAAGAAGAATGGGAAACCTCACATTTGGTACTTCTGGACTCCACTGATATGTTTTGGATTTGTGTCCCTGCCCAAATCCTATGACAAATTGGAGGACGGGCCTTGTGGAGGGTGATTGGATCATGGAGGCAGATTTTCTTCTTGCTGTTCTCATGATAGTCAGTGAGTTTTCAAGAGACCTGATGGTTTAAAAATGTATAGGACGTTCCCCTTCACTCAATCTCTCTCTCCTGCTCTGCCATAGTAAAGATGTGCTTGCTTCCTCTTCAACATCAGCCATGATTGTAAGTTTCCTGAGGCCTCCCAGTCATGCTTTCTGTAAAGCTTGTAGAACCATGAGTCAATTAAACCTCTTTTCTTCATAAATTACCCAGTCTCAGGTAGCTCTTTATAGCAATGTGAAAACAGACTAATATAGAAAATTTGTACTAGAAGTGGGTTACTGCTAAAAAGAAACCTGAAAATGTCGAAGCAACTTTGAAACTAGGTAATGGGCAGAGGTTGGAACAGTTTGGAGGACTCAGAAGAAGACAGGAAGATGTGAGAAAGTTTGGAAGTTCCTAGAGACTTGTTGAATGGTTTTGATCAAAATTCTGATAGTCATATGGATAATGAAGATCAGGCTGAGGTGGTCTGAGATGGAGATGGGGAACTTTTTGGGACCTAGTGCAAAGGTCACTCTTGCTATGCTTTAGCAAGACATTTGTGGCATTGTGCCCCTGCTCTAGGGATCTGTAGAACTTTGACCTTGAGAGAGATGATTTACGATATCTGGCAGAAGAAATTTCTAAGCAACAAAGCATTCAAGATGTGGACTGGCTGCTCCTAACAGCATACAGTCATGCATACACAAAGAGATGGCCTCAAATTGGAACTTACGTTTAAAAGGAAAGCAAAGTGTAAAAGTTTGTAAAACATGCAGGCTTACCATGTGGTAGGAAAAGAAAAAACATTTTCTGGGGAGAAATTCAAGCCTCCAGGTGTAGATATTTGCATATGTAAAAAGGAGATTTAATTTTCAAGACAGTGGGAAAGATGTCTGTAGGGCATGTCAGAGATCTTCACAGCAGCCCCTCTTATTACAGGCCCAGAGGCCTAGGAGGATAAAATGATTTTGTGGGCTGGGCCCAGGGACCCATTGCTCTGTAAAGGCTCAGGACACGGTGCCCTGCATCCCAGACACTCTAACACCAGCCATGACTAAAAGGGTCCAAGGTACAGCTAAGGCCCTTGCTTCAGAGGGTACAACCCCCAAGCATTGGTAGTTTCCAAGTGGTGTTGGGCCTGTAGATGCACAGAAGGAAAGGGTTTAGGTTTGGGAATCTCCACATAGATTTCAGAGGACGTTTTAGAAATGCCTGGATGTCCAGGCAAAAGTTTGCTAGAGGTGCAGAATCCTCATGGAGAACTTTTACTAGGACAGTGCAGTTGGGAAATGTGGCGTTGGACCCCCACAGAGTCCCCCCAGGAGTACTTCCTAGTATAGCTGTGAGAAGAGGGTCATCATCCTCCAGACCCCAGAATGGTACAGCCACCGACAGTTTGCACTGTGCACTTGGAAAAGCTGCAAACACTCAATGCCAGCCTGTGAAAGCAGTCTCAGGGGCTGTACCCTGCAGAGCCACAGGGGTGGAGCTGTCCAAGGCTTTGGGTGCCCACCTCTTGCATCTGCATGACCTGGATGTGAGGCATGGAATCAAAGGAGATTATTTGGGAGCTGTAAGATTTAATGACAACTCTGCTAGGTTTTGAAATTGCATGTGGTCTGTAGCCTCTTTGTTTTGGCCAATTTATCCTATTTCAAATGGGTGCATTTACCCAAGGCCTACGCTCACATTGTATCTTGAAAATAACTTGGTTTTGATTTTACAGGTTGATAGGCAGAAGGGATTTGCTTTGTCTCAGATCAGACTTTGGACTTGGACTTTTGGGTTAATGCTGGAATGAGTTGACTTTGTGGGACTGTTGGTAAGGCATAATTGCATTTTGAAATAAGAGAATGACCTAAGGTTTGGGAGGGCAAATGGTATTGTCCCTGCCCAAATCTCATGTCTAATTGGAGGAAATCCATTTTGCCCCAGGGGCAAAATGATATTGTCCCTGCCCAAATCTCATGTCTAATTGGAGGAAAAGCCTGGTGTTAGGTGATTGGATCATGGGGGCAGGTTTCCCCTTTGCTGTTCTCATGATAATGAGTTCTCAAGTGAACTGATGGTTTAAAAGCATGTGGCATTTCTCCCTTCACTCTATCTCCCCTGCTCTACCATGGTAAAGACATGCTTGCTTCCACTTCACCTTCTGTAATGATTGTAAATTTTCTGAGGGCTCCCAGTCATCCTTGCTGTTAAGCTGGCATAACTGAGTCAATTAAACCTTTTTTCTTTGTAAATTACCCAGTTTCAGGTAGTTCCTTATAGCAGTGTGAAACGGACTAATATATCTACCCTATGTGCTACTTCTCTTGGCTTATTTTAATCTGTGTTAATTTTTTTGGGGGGGTGGAGTGCTGCATTTAGATCATTCACCTCCTTGATTAGATTTGTTCCTAAGTACAATATTGTGTGCATATGTATTTACAATTGATATCTTCTCTTGATTAATTGACCCCTTTATCTTTATATAGTGATCTTTGTCTCCTTTTACAGTTTTTGACTTAAAGTCTACTTTGTCTAATATAAGTATAGCTACTCTTTTCTCTTTTGGTTTCCATTTGCATGGAATATCTTTTTCTGTCCCCAGGTGATGTGAGTCTCCTGTGATCAACATACAGTTGGTTCTTCTTCTTTTTAATCTAGCCATTCTATGTCTTTTGATTAGAGAATTTAATCCATTTACATTTAAGGTAATTATTGATAGGTAGGACTTACTATTGCCATTTTGTTATTGTTTTCTGTTTTATAGATCTTCAATCCTTTCTTTTTATTACGTTCTTTCCCCTTGTGAATTGACGATTTTGGTGTGCTTTGATTCCTTTCACTTTATCTTTTGTTTATCTACTATAGGTTTTCAATTTGTAACTACCATGAGGCCTATGTAAAACATTTTATATTTAAAACAGGCCATTTTAAGCTAATGAGAACTTGTAACCTCCATCAAATATAAAAACTGTATTTCTGATTCTTCTGCCATATTTTAAGTTTTGATGTCACAATTTACTTTTGTAAATTGTAACAAAATTATAATTTGTGTCTGTTAACAAATTGATGTAACTGTAGTTATATTTAATACTTTTGCCTTTTACCTTTATACTAGAAATATAAGTAATTTACACACCACAATTATAGTATCAGAGTACTTTGAATTTGACTATGTACTTACTTTTACAAGTGATTTTATAGTTTAATATATTTCCATGTTACTAATATTAGGACTTCCTTTGCTGTTTCTTGTAAAGCAAGTCTAATGGAGAGTTTTTGTTTGCCTGGGAAAATTTTTATTTATCCTTAATTTCTTAAGGATAGCCTTAGCAGTTAAAAGTGTTTTTAGTTGGCAGTTTTGTTTTTCTGTTACCACTTTGAATATATCATCTCACTCTACACTGGCCTACAAAATTTCCACTACGAAATCCACTGAGAGCCTCATAGAGGTTTTCTTGTATGTGAGGATCTTTTTCTCTTGCTGCCTTCAAGATTCTCTCTTTGTCCTTGAGTTTTAAGAGCTTGTTTATAATATGTTTTGTTGTAGTCTTGTTTGGATGAATCTGATTGGAGATAATTGAGCTTCTCATACTCATATATTTACATCTTTCCCATATTTGTTAATTTTTCAGCTACAATTTCTTTAAATAAGCTTCCTGTCCCTTTATTTCTTCTCTTTATTATGTTCTAAAAATGATGATGTTATCTCTCGCGAGGCTATCCCATGAATCTTGTGGGCTTTCTTTATTCCTTTTCATTTTTTTCCTTTTCCTCCTCTGACTATATATTTTCAAATAATTTGCCTTTGAGTTCATGACATCTTTTTTTATGCTGTAGGTTAATTCTTGTGTTGAGTGTTTACTGCATTTTTTACGTTGTTCATTGTGTTCTTCAGCTCCAGAATTTCTTTTTGATTCTTCTTTATCATTTTAATCTGTTAATCTTATTTTACTCAGGTATTATTTTGCTGATTTTGTTGAATTATCTATCTGTGATTTTTTGAAGTTCAGTATCTTCCATAAGACAATTATTATGAATTCTTAGGTAATTTGTAGATCTCCATTTTTGGGGTTTAGTTACTAGAAAATTATTGTGGGTTTTTTTTTTAGATGTTATTCTTCCTTGGTTGTTCATGTTTCTTATTTTCTTGTGTTGCCTCCTTCACCCTTAATGGAGCAGTCCCCTTTCCCAGACATTATAGACTATTTTCGACGGGAGATACTTTCCACTGTAAGTGGATGCAAGGGCACCAAGTGTGTGAGGTGTGACAGTTCTGGCTCCAGTGAGGGCACAGCAGGTAGTCTCTGTGAAACTCTATCAGCTAATGACAATGTTCACAAAGATTACAGAAGTCCTCACTATCCACTGAGGTGGTGAGGTCTATAGGTATCTTTCATGGAAAGGGCTGCTAGGGTCTTCCTGATCTTATTTTATCCCACCAGGGAAATGTTGCCAAGGAGATCCCTCTTGGTTTGATGGCACACTTGCAGCACCAGTGGCAACAGTGTGTTATATGCAGTGCCATAAAGTGGCAAAAGAGCCAGTCTGAAACACAGACACATGTAGAAAGTCCAAGCCTCCAGTGTCCAGGACAGCAATGGCACCAAGGTCTGAGGTGCATATGCCCCCACTGCCATATTGGACACTGTATTACTCATAATTAGTGACTGTATTAGTCATGATATTATCCTGAGATCATACATAATCTTCAAATATAGACAATAATAAGGTCATAATTACACCTAACATAATACAACTATCTTTTGTACAACTGGAAACACACCAATCCCCACCCAAATACTGTTACATAAAGTTTATAATACTTAAATGCTGATGTGAAGTCAATAAATCTTATGTCACATGATAACAGTGAAAGGAAATAAAATGAAGATGTTTATTAGTACAAGTGCATACATGCACAAACATGTTTTTAACAAAAGGAGGAAATACTCTTGACAATTACAGTCCTCGTTTCTGCAGCTGGTCACATGGTCATAGCTGATGTTGATGACTACCTTCTTCTACTACCCATTCTGTATTCCCTTTGCTTTCAGCAAGCACCTCAGTATGTTGTGGTTTTTTCCTGGAGGAGTAACCCAAACTTTCATTCCTGAAGGTTCTGGGTCATTTGCAGTCCTGCCTGGATTGGGCTGTTGTAGTTTCCCATTGACCCTAATCACAGGCCATGGTAATACTCAGAGATACCCTAATAGATATCCTATATTTAATGCATACTCTTCCTACCTCTGTTGTCGAGTAGTAGGCTGACTTTATCTTGATAGTTAGGATCCATCACCCCAGTCAACACTGTAACTCCCTTCTTAGCCTGTTGACTTAAAGGTAGGAGGAGCACAAAGTGTCCAGGTGGCAATCTTAACTTCCAGTTTAATGGAATTGTTGTGTCTTCTGGTGGCAGCATTCCTCCTTTTGGAACTAAGACCTCTAGTCCAGCAGAACGTAATGTTGTGGGAACAGTAAGAAAAGTTTTGCTAATGGATCATTAGGGGTGGTAGTGAGTGGTGTCACTTCCACTTCTACCCCTTGATTCATGGACCGGTGAATCCTGGCTATGGGAGAAACAGTACTATATATTGAATGCTGATTCAGAGCATATATGGCCTTCTGCAGAACTTTGCCCCAGCCCTGAAAAATATCATCAGCTAGTTGATGTTTTAATTGTGACTTCAAAGGGCCATTCCATGATTCTATCAATCTAGCTGCTTCAGGATGATGGAGAACATGGTAGGCCAGTGAATTCCATGAGCACAAGCCCACTGCTGAACTTCTTTAGCTGTAAAGTGAGTGCCTTGGTCGGTGGCAATGTTGTGTGGAATACTATGACAGTGGATAAGGCATTCTGTGAGTCCATGGATGGTAGTCTTGGAAGAAGCATTGCATGCAGGATAGGCAAACCCGTATCTGGAGTAAATGTCTATTCCAGCAAGAATGAACTTCTGCCCTTTCCATGATGGAAGCGGCCAAATATAATTCACCTGCCACCAGGTAACTGGCTGATCACCCCTAGAAATGGTGCCATATAAAGGGCTCAGTGTTGGTCTTTGCTGCTGGCAAATTGGGCACTCAGCAGTGGCCATAGCTAGGTCAGCCCTTGTAAGTGGAAGTCCATGTTGCTAAGCGCATGTATAACCTCCATCCCTGCCACTATGGCCACATTGTTCATGGACCCATTGGGTGATAACAGGGGTGGCTGGGGAAAGAGGCTTTGTGGTATCCACAGAATGGGTCATTCTATCCTCTTATTAAAAACCTCCCCTGCTGAGGTCACCTGTTGGTGAGCACTCACATGGGAAACAAATATCTTCATGGTTTTTGACCACTCAGAGAGGTCCACCCACTTACCTCTTCCCCAAATTTCTTTCTCACCAATTTTCCAATTCTGCTTCTTCCAAATTCCTGATCATCCAGCCAAACCATTGGCTACAGCCCATAAATCAGTATATAATTTCACATCTGGCTATTTCTCCTTCCATGCAAAGTGCACAACCAAGTGCACCACTCGAAGTTCTGCCCACTGGGAAGACTTGCCTTCACAGTTGTCCTTCAGGGATGTCCTAGAGAGGGGCTGTAGTGCTACAGCTGTCCACTTTCAGGTGGTGCTGCAGCTATCCACTTTCGGGTGGTGCCTGTATATTATGCAAAACCATCTGTGAACTAGGCCCTAGTCTTCTCTTCCTCTGTCAGCTGATCATAAGGACATCCCCATGAGGCCATCAGTGCAGGCTGGGGTTGAGAAGGCATGGTGGGAGGAGTGGAGACCATGGACATTTGAGCCACTTCTTCATGTAACTTATTTGTGCCTTCAAGACCTCCTCAAGCCCAATCAAGTATATACCACTTCCATTTGATGATGGAATGCTGCTATACATGACCCACTTTATGGGTAGATGGGTCAGAAAGCACCCAGTTCATAATAGGCAGTTCAGATCGCATAGTGACTTGATGACCCATAGTCAAACCTTCAGTTTCCACCAAAGTCAAGTAACAGGCCAAGAGCAGTCTCTCAAAAGGAGAGTAGTTATCTGAAGATGATGGCAGGGCCTTGCTCCAAAATCCTAAAGGCCTCTACTGTGATTCACCTAGAGGGGCCTGCCAAAGGCTCCAAACAGCATCCATATCTGCCCCTGATGCCTCAAACACCATTGGATCTGCTGAGTCATATGGCCCAAGTGGCAGGGCAGCTTAGACAGCAGGCTGGACTGTTGTCGAGCCTTCTCCTGTTCTGGACCTCACTCAAAACTGGCAGGCTTTTGGGTCACTCAACAAGTGGGCCAGAGTAACACACCCAAATGAGTAATGTGTTGCCTCCAAAATCCAAATAGGCCCACTAGACGTTGTGCCTCTTTCTTGGTTGTAGGAGGGGCCAAATGCAGCAATTTTTCCTTCCTTAGAAGGAATATCTCAACAGACCCCACACCGCAGAACCCCTAGAAATTTTACCGATGTAGAATGTCCCTGAATTTTAGTCAGATTTACTTCCCATCCTCTGGCATGCAAATGTCTCACCGATAAGTCCACTGTGTTTGCTACTTCTTGCTCACTGGATCCAACCAGCATAATGTCATCAATGTAATGAACAAGTGTGATATCTTGAGGAAGCAAAAAGTGATTGGATCTCTCTAAATAACGTTATGACACAAAGCCAGAGAGTTGACATACCCCTGAGGTAGGACAGTAAATGTATATTGCTGGCCTTGCCAGCTGAAGACTAATTGCTTCTGGTGGGTCTTATGGATAGGAATGAGGAAAAAGGTATTTGTCAAGTCAATGGCTGAATACCTGGTACCAGGAGATGTGTTAATTTGCTCATGCAATGAAACCACATCTGGTACTGCAGCTGCAATTGGAGTCACCACTTGGTTGAGTTTATGATAATCCACTGTCATTCTCCAAGATCCATCTGTCTTCTGCACAGGCCAAATAGGAGAATTGAATGGGGATGTGGTAGGAATCACCACCCCTGTGTCTTTCAAGTCCTTGATGGTGGAACTAATCTCCACAGTGCCTCCAGAGATTAGGTAGTGTTTTTGATTTACTATTTTTCTAGGTAGAGGCAGCTCTAATGGCTTCCAGTGGGTCTTTCCCACCATAATAGTCCTCACTCTATCAGTCAGCGAGCCAATGTGGGAGTTCTGCCAGCCGCTAAGTATGTGTATGGCAATTACGCACTCAGGTACTGGGGAAATGACAACAGGATATGTCTGGGGACCCACAGGACCCACTGTGTGTCAGTACTGAGCTAAAACTCCATTAATTACCTCACCTCCATAAGCTCCTACCTCAACTGGAGGACCACAATGACGTTTTGTGTCCCTTGAAATCAATATCAGCACAGAGCCAGTGTCCTGTAGTCCCTGAAATGTATGTTCATTTCCCTTTCCCCAGTACACAGTTACTCTGGTAAAGGCAGGAGGTATCCTTGGGGAAGGATGGAAGAAATATTCATAGCATAAATTGTCAGTAATGTAGTGGAGTCCTTCCTCAAGGGGATCCAGTCACCCTTTCATTCAGTGGGTTCTGGGTCTGTAAACTGGCTCAAGTCTGGAAATTGATTGAGGGGCCATGATTCTCTGTTTTTATAATTCAAATAAGTCTTTTGTCCATTCGACCTAGAAGTTTTTTTCTGCTTATATAAATTAGGTAGGAATGCAGTAGGCTTCCTATCCATTTTACTTCTAGGAACACCATGATTCATTAGCCAATGCTAGAGCTCTACTTGAGTCAGATTATTCAGATTGTCACTTTGCCTCTGCTGTCCATTACAGTAGCTACACTCAATTGCCTTTGATGGGTGATTACCTCCACTTGGTTCTTCCCACCTCAGGATCCAATTATTCCCATTGAAATTGGGAATCTTTTAGTTGAGTGACTGAGGCTCCCACTGTTAGATCTGACATACAGAAAAGAGCAATTACAGGGCTCTTCAAAGATGCAGGTGCTGCCCTCACACGTCTATTCTGTAAGGCATTGGTCAAGTGTGTATCTTCTGGATGCTTCCAGCTGGTAGGTCTAAAGTGACTAATCCACTCCACCATCCCAATCTCCCTAAGCCTTTGGATCCCTTCCTCTGCATTAAACCAAGGGAGATCAGGCATTTCCAGCTTACTCACTGTGGGCCATCTTTTAATCCATATTTCGGCTAACCAAGCAAATAAACTATTAGAACCTTTTTTAACTCCCTGAGCTGAAACATTAAATGCAGAGTCCCTACTTCGTGGCCCAAATCAGTAAATTCAGCCTTATCCAACTCTATGTTCCTTGCACCATTATCCCATGCCCTTAATGTCAATTCCCATGCCTGTTCCCCAGATTTCTGTTTATATAAATTAGAAACTCAAGCAGTTCTTTTCAAGTGTAGCCCACCTCCTCATGAGTCACACTCTCAATATCACCTCTAGGGTCCCGCCAGAACTTTAGTCTAGTTATAGGTCTAGAAGCAAACAGGAATGTTGGGGATGGCTCCTGAGGAGAATCAACATTATCTTTCTGGGCAACTGCCTCAGGGGAGGTCACCATGATTCCTCAGGCAGTGCAGGGAAGGCTGATGGCAGCATGGGTTGGGGAGGAGTTGTTGCCACTGCTGGGGATGAGGAAACTGTTTCTTCTGACAAAAAAAGGTTCATCAGAGTTTACAAACTCAGCATCCCCAGCTTCATCAGGGTCTTTCCACACATCCCCATTCCAAGTTGCAGGGTTCCATTCTTTTTCAATCAATGCCCTCACTTTAACAGTAGACAACTGGTAAGGCTGTGCATGCACCTTTTGTTGCAGGTCAGCCACTCTCACACTAAGAGCTTGTGTCTGTTTTTCCACAATTTCAGCTCTTTCTCTACAGGAGATAAGACTCTCACTCAGGGCAATCTTAGCATATTTGAGGCTTGGTATCTGCTTCTCAAGTGGGGAGATAGAATTTCTGAGTTCATCATTTTCTTTCATCACTTTGTCTACTGAACTTAAGAGCAACAAACCAGCTTCATTATGTTCCTTGGTTCTCCACATATGATCAAAAGTATTCTGTATAGAGTCACCAAACTCCTTGCCTCTCATGAGTGATGAATCAGGAGGATCAAATGCATTTATTTTTCATATCCCTCTAAACATTTTATACCAAGGACTATCAGTGTTCTTCATACTACTGGAAGTAGAGTCCTTAGCATTTTGGGGTCTAATCATATTAAGCAGCCAACTCCAGAAACCACAAAACCAGTGAAAAAACTCTATTCTTATTATATTGTTCCTCTAGAATCACTCCTGCTACCAAAATCTGTATTAAGCAGGGTTCTCCAGAGGGACATAAGTAATGGAATATATATATACACACACACGTATATATATATATATACACACACACACACACACACACACTAATGGAATATATATATATATATATGAAGGAGTTTATTAAGTATTAACTTATAGGGTCACAAAGTTCCCAAATAGGCTGTCTGCAGACTTAGGAGCAAGGAGAGGCAGTCTGAGTTCCAAAACTGAAAAACTTAGAGTCTGATGTTGGAAGGCAGGAAGCATCCAGCACAGGAGAAAGACGTAGGCTAGGAGGCTAGGCCAGTCTCTCTTTTCACATTTTTCTGCCTGCTTATGTTCTAGCTGTGCCAGCAGCTGATTAGATTGTATCCACCCAGATTAAGGGTGGATGTGCCTTTCCCAGCCCACTGACTCAAATATCAAACTTTTGGCAACACCCTCAAAGACACACCTAGGATCAATACTTCGTAACTTTCAATCCAATCAAGTTGACGCTCAGTATTAACCATCACACTTTCTAATAGTATGCTATATATTCTAGATGCAAATTCCTTATCAGCTATGTGGTTTGCAAATGTTATCTCCCATTCTATGAATTGCTTTTTAACTTTCATGATGGTAGCATTTTAATCATAAATATTTTAAATATTGATTTAGTCCAATTTAGCTATTTTAAAATTTTTGTTGCTTATCTATTTGGTGGTAAATTTAACAAACAATTGCATAAGCAAATGTCATGATGGTCTACTCCTACTTTTGTTTTTTTTTAAGACGGAGTCTCGCTCTGTCACCCAGGCTGGAGTGCAGTGGCACAATCTTGGCTCACTGCAAGCTCCACCTCCTGGGTTCACGTCATTCTCCTGCCTCAGCCTCCCGAGTAGCTGGGACTACAGGCGTCTGCCACCACGCCCAGCTAATTTTGTTTTGTATTTTTAGTAGAGATGGGGTTTCACCGTGTTAGCCAAGATGGCCTCAATCTCCTGACCTCGTGATCCACCCACCTCGGCCTCCCAAAGTGCTGGGATTACACGCCTATGTTTTTTTTAAGTGTTTCATAGTTTTAGTTCTTGTATTTATAATTATGATTCATTTTGAGTTAATTTTTGCGTTTGGTGCATAATAGGGATTCAAATTTATTCTTTTGTGTATGCATATTTAGCTATCCCATCATCATTTTTTGAAAAGATAATTTGTTTTCCATTTCATTGTTTCACCTTAGTAGAAAATCAAGTGACTACAAATATGTGAGTTTATTTGTGGATTTTAAATTTTATTCATTGATCTATATGCCTACCTTAATGTGATTATCATCACACTATCTTGAATATTGTACTGTTTTAGTGAGTTTTGAAATAGGGAAGTTATTCAACTTTGCTCTTTTTTTTAAATTGTTTTGACTATTCTGTTTCCCTTGCATTTCCATATGAATTTTAGGATCAGCTTGCCAATTTCTGTGAAAAATCCTGCTAGGACTTATTAAGGATTGCATTGAATCTATAGATCAACTTGGTTGGTACTGCCATCTTAACAACATTAAATTTTCCAATTCATAAACAATGAATGTATTTCTATTTATTTAGACTTTTTAATTTTATTCAGCATGCTTAGTAGTTTTCAATGTATAAATCTTTATCTGGTTTGTTAAATTTACTAAATATATCCTTTATTATGCTATTTTAAATAAAAGGCTTTCTTGCTTTTATTTTCAGATTGTTAGTTACTCATATATAAAACTACAATTGATTTTTGTATATCCATGTTTTCTCTTGCAAACTTGCCAGATGTGTTTATTAGTTCTGATATTTTCTAGGATGTGTTTAAGGATTTGTTACATGCAAGACTATGTCAACTGCAAGCAAAAATACTTTATTTCTTGCTTTGCACTCTGGATGTTTTTAAATTCTTTCTCTTGCATAGTGCTCTAACTAGAATCAATTGCAATATTAAATAAAAATGACAAGACTAGACATCCTCATTTTTTTCTCAATCTTAGGAAGCATTCAGTTTTTAAATATTAAAAATACTCTAGCTGTGGCCTCATCATCGATGTTCTATATGAGATACAGAAAGTTTTTCTGTATTTCTATTTTGTTGAGTGTTTTCATCATGAAATGCTGTTGGGTTTCATTAAATACTTTTTCTGTGTTCATTAATATGACCAGGTATTTTTGTCCTTTCTGTTATATGGTATATTAATGGATTGATTTTCAGATGTTAACAAATTTTGTAACCCTGAGATAAATCACACTTAATCATGACCTATAATCCTGTCTATACATGTATTTGTCCATTTTCTTACTGCTATGAAGAAATACTTGAGACTGGGTAATTTATAAAGAAAAAAGAGATTTAATGGGCTTACATTTCCACATGGCTGGGGACACCTCACAGTCATGGTGTAAGGTGAAGGAGGAACAAAGGATGCCTTACATGCTGGCAGACAAGACAGTGTGTGCAGGGGAACTGCCCTTTATAAAACCATCAGATCTCATGAGGCTATTCCCTATCACAAAAACAGCATGGGAAAAAAACACCACCATGATTCAATTACCTCTCACCAGTCCCCTCCCATGACACACGGGGATTATGGGAGCTACAGTTCAAGATGACATTTGGGTGGGAACACAGCCAAAGCATATCAATACATAACTGGGTTTGATTTACTTCTTTTTAAATATTTTTTGTGTCTATATTTATAAGGGATAGTCTATTGAAATTTTTTTTTCTTCTGATGTCTTTATCTGGTTTTGGTATATAGGTAATATTCACCTCACAGAATGATTTTAGAAGCTATCTGAAGGTGTTTTTTCTTGATAGGAAGTTATTTAAATAATATTCCATTTTCTTTACTCATTATAAGCCTATTCAAAGCATCTATTTCTTACTGAGTCAATTTCATTAGTTTGTGTCTTTATAGGAATTTGTCTATTTTATCTAAGTTTTGGCACACAGTCGGTTATAGCAGTCCCTTAAAACCTTTCAATTTCTGAAAGGTTTGTAGTAATATTTTTTAATTCCTGATTTTAGTAATTTATTTCTTCTATTTCACTTACTCCAGCAAAAGTCTGTCAGTTTTGTTGATCTTTGCAATGAACTGACTTTTGGCTCTGTTTTTTCTATTGAGTTTTTAATCTCTCTTTCATTCATTAATACTCTTACCTGCTTGGTTTGAATATTATTTCCAATTCTCTTCTCTAGTTTCTTAATGTGGAAGGGTAGAAAATAATTGATTTGTGATCACTCTTCTTTCTTACTATGAGTCTATAGCTATAAATTTCCCTCTGATCACTTGGTTAGCTACATGGCATAACTTTAATGTTTCATATCTTCCTTTGAGCCACTGGTTATTTAGTAGTATGCTGCTAAATTTCCACATATTCATGAATTTACAAATTACCTTTTGTTATTTATTTCACATTAATTCCATATTGACCAGAGAACATGTACTACATGATTTTAATTTTTTTAAATTTATTTATTAATTTTTGTGGTCTAGCATATGCCTTATTGTATTAGTCCATTCTCAGGCTGCTATGAAGAAATACCTGCAACTGGGCAATTTATAAAGAAGAGTTTTAATTGGCTCACAGTTTCACATGGCTGGAGAGGCCTCAGGAAGCTTACAGTTATGGCAGAATGCACCTCTTCACAGGATGGCAGGAGACAGAAATGTAGAGTGAAGGGAGGAAAAGCCCCTTATAAAACTGGCCAGATATGGTGGCTCACACCTGTAATCCCAGCACCTTAGGAGGATGAGGCAGGCAAATCACTTGAGCTCAAGAGTTAAAGACCAGCCTGGCCAACATTGGGAAACCCAGTCTCTACTAAAAATACAAAAAATTAGCTGGGTGTGGTGGCTCATGCCTGTGGTTCCAGCTACTCAGGAGACAGAGGCAGGAGAATTGCTTGAACCTGGGACACGGAGGTTGCAGTGAGCCTAGATCATGCCTGTGTACTCCAGCCTGGGTGACAGAATGAGACTCTGTCTCAAAAAACAAAAACAAAAACTATCAGATCTTGTGAGAACTCACTCACTATCATGAGAACAGTATGGGGAAACTGCCCTCATGATCTAATCACTTCACACGAAGTCCCTCCCAAACACGTGGGGATAGCAATTCAAGACGAAATTTTGAGTGGGGACACAGCCAAACCATATCCCCTATCTTGTAAATGTTTTAGGTGTACTTGAGAAAAATATTTATTCTGCTGTTTTTGAGTGGAATATTCTACAGATGTCTATTAGGTCTAGTTGTTTTATATTTGTGTTCAAGTATTTCATTTCCTTGTTATTCTTGTACGTAGTTGTCCTATCCATTATTGAAAGTAAAGTATTAAGGTATTCAATTTTTATTGTTGAATTGCCATTTTCCCTTTAATTCTCTTAGATTATGTTTCATGTATTTGGGAGCTCTCCTGTTAAGTGTATTGTATTAATCCATTCTCACACTGGATAAAGAACTGCCTGAGACTAGGTAATTTATAAAGAAAAGAGGCATAATTGACTTATGGTTCCACATGGCTGGGGACACCTCAGGAAACTTAAAATCATGGCAGAAGGCACCTCTTCACAGGGTAGCAGGAGAGAGGAGTGAGCAAGAAAGGAACTATCAAACAATTATAAAACTACCAGATCTCATGAGAAGTCACTCACTGTCATGAAAACAGCACAGGGGGAATCACCCTCATGATCCAATCACCTCCCACCAGGTCTCTCTCTTCCCACCTGGGGATTACAATTCCGAATGAGATTGGGGTGGGGGTCACAAAGCCTAATCATATGACGTATACATAATTACAATTGCTATATCTTCTTGATAGATTGTTTATTATTTTTGAATGTCCTCCTTTTTCTTTAGTAACAATGTTTTTGTTAACATCTATGTATCTGATATTACTATACTTTCTAATGTTTACTGTTTGCATGATCTATCTTTTCCTATTATTTTATTTTAAAACTATTTGTATGCATTATTTATCTTTTCCCATTATTTTACTTTAAAACTATTTGTATCTTTGAGCCTAAAACATATCTACTGTTGACAGCATATGTTTGGATTTCATTAGTTTTTATCTCATACTCTCCCTTTAGATTGTTTAATCTATTCACACTTGTTGTTATTTATATGAATGTGTTTACATTTGCCATTTTTTTTCTGTTTCCTATATGCCCTTTTTATTCCCCTGTTTCTCCTTTACTGCCTTCCATGTACTAAGTAGAAACTGTCTAGTATAAAATTTTAATTCAATAAATAGTATTTAATTATATTTTTTAAATGTTAGTAATTGCCTAAATTACCAAAGTACACTTCAGATGTGTAGTAATTTAATTCCAGTGAAATATAGAAACTTTACTCTTCTATAGCTCCATTTCATTACTCTTTGTGTGTGCTATTAATGTTATGCATATTACCTCTATATATGTTAGAATACTATGCCCTGAAAAAATGATAAATTATATAATCTTATCTCTTTAAGGAAGCTTAGAGAAGAAAGGAAAGCAATCCAATCATGTATTTATGGAGTTTGTTATGTTAATATTAACTTTCGAGTTTACCATTTTTAATTCTCTTCATTTATTTTTTTGAATTTTAATTATTTTATATCATTTATTTACCCCAATACAGCTTTGTTTCCATCATTGTCCTTTGTGTTGCTATTGTTAAATATATTTATGTATATGTTGTAAGCCTAGCAATACAATTGTATACATACTGTTTCATAAACTGCTTCTTAAGTTAGTTAAGAGGACAAAACAGAAATATTCAACCACACAGTCTTTTATAATTATCAGCATAATTAACATATTGGTACTTTGTTCACTGATGTGAATTCAAATTACTGTCTGGTGTTGCTTACTTTTAGCTTGAAGAACTTTAAGTATTCTAAGGCAGGTGTGATAACACATTCTATTGGCTTTTGTTTGTCTGGAAAAAAAATTATTTCACCTTAACTGCCACACATAATTGGTCAATAGATGTTTACTTTTCAGTACTTTGAAAATGTCATTCCACTGCTTTCTGGCCCCATTGTTTCCGATGAGTAGTCTGCTGTTAATCTTGTTGGTTTTCCTTTTGTACACGATGCGTCATTTTTCTCTTGGTGCTCTCAATATTTTCTTTTTGTCTGTGGCTTCCAATATTTTGATTATAATGTATACAAGCATGAACATCTTTGCTTAAGCCCATTGTGTTCATGAAGCTCACACTTTTGTTTGTGAATCTGTGTGCAGCTTGGGAAAGTTTTCAAGTCTTCCCCACATCTTATTTTCACTGTTTCTGAGTAATTATAGCTTCATGCGTGTGCTCAGAGTTCTCACTCCTGAGGATTGACTTCAATCCCAGGAGAACTCTTTCTGGCTATTTTTCTTGTTATCTCTGTTAAACTTCTTGTTCCTGGGGCTATTGCACTTGTTCTAATCAGTATTATAAAACTATGATAATCTTGGTTGCTCTCCATTAAGATTTGTATTGTTTTTAATAACACTCACAGCCAGTAATTTCTCCATGCTCTGATCCAAAGAAGTCAGTTCCCTGAAATAGCTGTGGAGCTCTTCATCCTTATCAGCTGCCTCTTACCCAGGCAAAATTACTGTTTCCACTGAACAGAAGCTGAGGATAAAAACGATGCTCTTCCTCTCCCAGAGTAACATCCCTGCTCTACCAATGGGCACTGGGGGAAGGTGATAGTCTCTGACATCTTGACTTGCCTTTACATTGTGGAAACTCTTCCCTATGATTAAACTGGGGCAGGGACAGTCACGTGTCTAGTATCCATTGCCTGCTGTGTTTGGAGTGGAGTTTCCTCACTATAAGTCGGAGGTGGATGATAGAAGGGAATTTCAATTCTCTTGATCACACCAAACAGAAACAGAACTCCTGCAACTTCTATAGAGCAAATAAGAAACTCTGGTGTCATGCCCCTTCTAAATTGAAACCATAGCCCTAGTGGGTACTGGTGGGTAGAGAGCCCTGCCTTCTTTATATAGGGTGCTTTACTCTGCACCCATTCAGAGTAAAGCATCCTACTTAAAGTTCCATAAATCAGAGCTGGGAGGGGGATAAAAGAGCAGACTATGGCTCAAGAGCCACAGTCTCTTACACTTCTTAACAAGATTTAGTAAATTTTCTTGAATAAATATTTCACTTGCTGCACTCCCTTAGGACAATTACAAGAAACTTTAAATAATTGTATTTTTTAAATAATTTCCTCCAGTCAAATAATTGTATTGTTGGGAAAAGAGTTCTTGGCACTCTTCATGCCATCACTTCAGAATCCCTTTGGGCGATTTTTGCCAGACTTTATTTCTAATCTAAATACTCAAAGATGTTCTGAATTTCTCATATTTTTTGAGGGGGGATTTGGGGGAGCATAAATCTAATCAAATGTAGCACAATGATATTAGCATTTATAGGGAAATATTTATATTTAAGATTCAGGGCATTTTGTCAGCATGGATTAGCTTGAAGTATTTAGTTGTATTTATTAATAAAACTTCCATTATATCGTTCTGAGAAAAGATAAACTTTGCTTCTAAAGAACAGTTGGTTTTTGTCTAGACCATTTGGTAAGGAATATTTAGTGACAGTACTGTTGGATGACTGCTGAGAAAATTGTCTTTAGAACCTTGGAGGAGTTCTGTATATGAATCCAGAAAGTATTCTCATTAAATAAAATGAAACATTTTTACTTCCTTTAAAATCCTCCACCATTATCATTTATTGATGAGATGCTATGATTTTTAGTAGTATCTTAGATAGCGCTACGATTCTTCTTCACCAGTTTTTACTACAGAATTTGTTTTTTTATATTGCTTGCATTTAAATCTTTTTAAAAGACCATGACTAATATAAGTGGCATTCAACATTTTATATACTTTAATTTTCAATATTTTTAAAATTTATACTGACATTTGTATTAGAAAACATTGGTTACTGATATCAAAGGTAGATTATGAATACAAATGTGCTTTTTTCTGATTTTAATGAAAATTTTCTGGGTTGGAAATTAGAAAAATAAGCTCTGGAAAAAAGTGTAGCATAATTTTTTAGATAATCCTCAGACTCATTTTAGGCAAAAATTGTACCATCAAGAGTGCTTGTATGTGGCTACTCTTAATGTTGTATAACATGATATGTAGATACCCTATATGGCTGGTGCTGTTTGTACTGAAGGAATGGCAGCAACTGAATTTGTTTTTAGCTGAGTTCAATGAAAATTTCCATTTGCATCATTAAGTTCCTGTCTGAGAAAATTAAAAATTTTAAATGACTGCAAGGCACATCTTACATATAAGAATACATTTGGTCATCCCAGTAGCAGTTGGAAATGCATATTTCATTTGACAGCATTTGCAAAATCCTTTTATCACCTCAAAATAACTTGTAGAATGTACAGACTTCCAAGTGGTAAAAATTGGTCTCACAATTTTTTGTCAAAGTATAATTTTGTTTATAATAAAAAATAAAGCTATAGGCAGTATTGATTTAGTGGTTGCCTCTCCTCAGAAGTCATTATAATAATTCTTGTTCCTGCAGTCTTCACCTAACTTTTAAGGTTGGGAGGGCAATTTTGCCACAAAATTAGAAATTAATAGAAATCCAAATATGAACATAAATAGTGTTATTATTCTAAGAAGTATTGCAGTACAATTTTTTGTGGACTTATGCTTTCTTATTTCATTTTCCATAATCAATATCTTTATTTACATACACAGAAAAAAATGTTATTTGGTTAAATCATCCTGAAGAGTAATAAAAATCTTCATGTGACTAGTTTTGTTTCTATCTGTTTTCTCTCATCATAAAACATATATATGTGCATATATAAGTATATACACATATATACGTATATATATACGCATATGTACATATATATCTGTATATACTTATATACACATATATATACATATGTGATATATATATATATAAAACATTTAATCCAATCATCCATAGATAGACATTTAGGTTGATTCCACATTCTTGATATTACAAATAATACTGTGATAAACATATGACTGCAGGTATCTTTTTGATATAACAATTTCTTTTCCTTTGGGTAGATACCCAGTAACAGGATTGCTGAG
Source organism: Homo sapiens (assembly GCF_000001405.40). Taxonomy (NCBI): domain Eukaryota; kingdom Metazoa; phylum Chordata; class Mammalia; order Primates; family Hominidae; genus Homo; species Homo sapiens. The sequence goes on from NC_000003.12 coordinate 118,373,142, forward strand.
TCCAATAGTAGTTCTATTTTCAGTCCTTTGAGAAATCTTTATGCTGATTTCCATAGAGGTTATACTAATTTACTTTCCCACCAAGAGTATACAATTGTTTCCTTTTCTCCAAATCTTTGTCGACATCTGTTATTTTTTGACAGTTTAGTAATAGCCATAATAGACATTCTGACTAGTATAAGATGGTATGGTATCTTATTGTGGTTTTAATTTGCATTTCTCTGATGATTAATGAATTGAACTTTTTTATATGCTTGTTGACCATTTGTATGTCTTCTTTTGAAAAATATGTCTGTTCATATCATTTGCCCACATTTTAATGGGGTTATTGGTGTGGTTTTTTTTGTTGTTGTTGTTGTTATTGAGTTGTTTGAGTTTCTTGTAGGTTCAGTTTAATGTTAACTTTACAACACAGATGTAACTATAAGCCTGGGGGATATTTTTTCCAGGCCAGGAATCTGAAAGGGGACTAGATGTTTTCTGTTGATAGTTAACCAAGTGTAACACAAGAATATGACCACATATACTTGTTTCCAAAAAGAAAGAAAGAAAAAGAAAGAAGAAAGAAAAACGAAAGAAAGAAAGAAACTCATATAAAATAGCAAAGACAAATCACAATGACTACATCCCAGAAAAGTAGACATAAAAGAAGAAATAAGGTGTCTTGTAACAATACATGAGTTTATTTTTCACCGTCTTTTATCCCAAAACTTCAGTGAACCTATGTTGCATTCAACCTTAAAACCAAGCTCTTCAGCTGAACATACAACACATTTCACAATCTGGTTCCAGTAGTTTCACTGTATTACCCAAGCCTCCCTTGCATTCACACTGTACCCTGGCATATGGGACTACACCCCATATTTCTTACCTTCGTACCCTTATTTGTACTGTTCCTTCTACATGAAAACTTATTGGCTGATTAATAAACCACCTGTTTTTCAAGTCCACATTAGATGCAAACTCTTCTCTGAAATCTGTACAGTTTGCTTTAATTAATGACATCTCTCTCTCTCTCCTTCAAACTCTCTAAACAGTTTATTTCAAACTTTCATGTTGTAATTTATGTTCTTGCTCTTTGTATCTTGCCTCCCCACACACGTAATAAATGCTACTTTAGAGAAAGGAAGGGACTCTTACCTGAACCTCTTTACAACCCCGGAAGGATCAATATTATCTCTACCATGTAAGGTGTTTCTTCAATAGATAATTACAGAAGAAATTTCAACTCTAGATTCTCTCATTCCAAAATAGTCTTAGATTTTCTTGATCATAAATTTGTGTAAAGGAAAATTGCATTATCTTTAAGTGAGTGCAATTCTATCCCCAGCAAATTCTGGTGGGAGTCATGAAGTCTGTTGCTAGGGAAATTGTTAACAAAATTTAGAACAGAAAGGCCCAGTGGGGAGAGTTTGCTGATGTCTTCCAATAGCCACAGCAATAGTTCTTTTTTTTTTTTTTCCTTTGGTCCCTTGTAGACAGAAGTATTGTGGAGTAGAGAAAGGAAAAATCACCACTATGTAAGATCCCAAACTGAGAATATTTGCCCCTACCACCACCTGAGCCAAGGGAGGCAGGTGCACCTTCTTTGGTGCAGAAGGGGAGGCTGGGGCTTATCTGACAGAAAGAAACTTCCGAAAGTGGTCAAGGTGCTGGCCAAGTGGGGGTGTAACTGAGTCGTGTTCTGTCTCATTTTTATGCCAAGGAAGTGGTTGGTGGGAGGGTGGAGAGAGAGAAAACAGGGCCCTTGTGCAGAAACCAAGGATGCTTCCTTTGGAGAATAAGAGAATACAAAATGGGCCCACAGTTTTGCCACTTTCTTTACAAGAACCACTCTTACCTCTCCTCCTTTCTGAGATTTCAGTACATACAAGAGTGGGACTGTGGTGTCCAATCTGTCTGTATTATGTCACTCTTGTAATGCTCTCTCTTGGATTTTCTTAGTCTTTTTAGTCAGATATTGCTCTAATACAGATTTTATTCCACCTGCTTCACATCCAAGGTAAACTGGTAGGGTGGACATCAGAGAGGGTCAGTAATTATATGACCATAAGGAGGGTAGTGCCTGAATGTAGCCAGGAGGACAGGGTGAGGTGCCCTTTTTAACTGGAGAACTTAGCGTACATCCCTTTAGTGAGTATGACACCCAGTGGGCATAGGCAGAAGGTTGGAGGCCACTAAAAGAGAAGCAATCAGCAACCATACTGAGAAGTTAAGAGCCAGAAGTGGCTCTGTCAAACACTGCAGGCAAAGTGCTGAGCACTTTGCATGGCAAAAAGGAGCTAAGCAGACTTCTTTTCTCCTTCCTTCTTCTTTGTCATAGACCACATTACTAATAGTCACTTGTTAGGCTTCTTTTATCTGGAATATTACAAACGTATAGGAAAGTGCATAAAGCATAAAAGTATAACTTAGTGAACTATAGAATAAACACTTGTTTAACTTTTGCCCAAGTCAAGAACTTGAATATTAACAGAACTCCAAAAGCCCTCTGCAAGTCCCTTATTAAAAAAAAAACCCTTCCCTCCTCCCTGGAGTTACCTCTATGCTGAATTTTATGAAATCCAATTTCTGCGGTATTTATTACATAGCTTTACTACCTAATTGTACACTACTAAAATATAGTTGAATTTTGCCTGTTTTTTGAACTTAATATAAATAGAACAATAAAATATTCATTATACTATGTCTGGTCGCTTGGATTCAATATCATATCTTATCATTCACTCATTGTACGTACAGTCAGCTCTCCATATCAGCAGACGTGTATTCAACCAATCACAATCACAGATCAAACATATTCAGAAAAATAAAAGTAATAACAATACAACACTATTTTTATGATACGAAACTTAAAAACAATACAGTATAACAACTATTTACATAGCATTTGCATTGTATTAGGTATTTTAAGTAACCTAGAGATGATTTAAGTTATAAAGGAAGATGTGCATAGGTTATATGGAAGTAATATGCCATTTTATATCAGGTTCTTGAGCATTCATGAATTTTGGTATTCATGGGGGTCCTGGAACCAATTTCCTGCAGATACTAAGAGACAGTTGTACTGTAAGTCATCATGTTCAGTGCAGCATGTTGTTTCATGGTATTTCTATATTACAGTTTACTTACAATTCTTAACAGACATTTGGACATCTTTTTCCATTAGTTTTGTAAAGGGGAACACATAAGGCTGCATATTAATCATCTACTATCCACAAACAGTTTCATGTATTTCTGAATCCAGACCTTCAGTTCTTAAATATCAAAGCTCCATGTGAGGTGTGTGTGTCTGTGTAAATTAACCTTAAGAACTTTTGTTATACGCCATGTGCAAGATTGGGTATAAAAAAAAAAAGTAGCTATTCCTAAGATTCCTGTCAAGGCTATGCCATACAACATTACATCCCTAAAACAGGTGTTTCTGGCCTGCATGCATAGATAAAGGTTACAACTTAGGTTACATTTATTTTTTAAGGACCTGAACACTAGAGAGGCACGGATTATACCTCAGAACCATTGCTTTTAACACATTGTATAGTAAATATTATTACTTTAAGTTTCACTTCTGTTTCCCAAATCTGTTTTAGCATATTTATTTTATGAGTTACCTTTTAGTAAAAAAGTGGATATAGGACTGTCTACTAATGACAAGATAGATGTATGCAGTCTTTCTGGAGATATTGATGTAACCTCTTCTCTAAGGCGTTATTAAAGAAACTTAGTAAGTACACAAGTAATGTCTCTTGTGAAGGATGCACGACCTAGCTGAGAAGTAATGCAAAAGGCAGCGAGTTTAGTTTGGAAAAGAGTCATAATCCCTAAGGATTAATGCTGTGATTAGGTCATTAGAATTTAGTATCAAGGAAGAGCCTGTTTGTCCCTTCACCTAGATCTAAGGGTGTCAATTGCTTAGTGAGCTCCTTAGTTCAGTGTATACTTACAACAACAGATATTTATGCTTTGGACTTCAGCATTATAGTCAGAAGATTTTCTGTTGCAGGTGAGAAACTCTACTTCAAAATATTTGAAGCAAACAATGAAATGTAGTACTATATATTAAGGGGAATCCCAGGGGTGGCCCCAACTGATCCAGAATTGGCCTCACACTAACCCAAAGCCTCAAATGGGGTTCTGGTAATACTCCCTTCTTATCTTGCTCCCTTGCTTTCTGGCTTTCTGCTTCTCCTTCTAATTCTCTTAGATTTTCTCCTTTTGTGCACTGATTTTCTCCACATGACAGAAAAGTGACTAAAAGACACCCTAAGCTATATCTTCACATCCAACAGAAAAGCCCCAGGGAGGGCTCTGACTGGCCCAGCTTGGGGCCCACTTTCCACTGCAGTAGCCAGAGTACAACCACAAAATTATTAGCTCTTCTATAAATGGGAAAAAAAACACAAGAGTATGCAGTAAAGAATGCAATCTTGACCAAAAAAAAAAGTCTAGCTTTTGCCTTCAGCTTCAGAGAGGTAATCTCTAAGCCCTTGGATGGAATGTTATGCCCAAAACGAGTGTCTCTATTTGCTGGGGGCCTTGGGTCAGCAAGAGAGTAACAATGTGATTTAAGGTGAGGATCCAAGCCACATTAATAATGTGATGTGGGTTGGGTACCTTTGGTCACACAACTTGACCTCCTAAGGGGCTAGAAACAGGTCTGCCATGTAATAGCAAACCACATTTTACATGATGGAACCCCAATAAGGACCTAAACACCAAGGCTCAGGAAAGCATCTCTGGTTGGCAAAACTCTCTGTGTATTCCCACACTTTGATACCAGTAATGTAACTGTGTCCTTACTCCACAAGGAGAAGATAATTGGAAGCTCAGTTTTAGGTACTATTTCTAGACTCTATGCATTTCATTATTTCATATAAAATCAGTTGGCCAATTTTAATCTGTATTCTTCCCCTGTAATAAACTGTAACTGTGAGTATAATAGCTTTCAATGAGTTCTGTGGGACTTTCAAAGGAATTACTGAAACCAAGTATGGTTTGATAACTCCCTGCATCCCAAACTTGCAATTGGTGACAGAAGTGAGGATGATCCTATGAGCTACTTTCCCTCTAACTTCACATTTGGAAAAACTCTCTCAGAAAAAAAGTATGAGTGAAATGTTCTGGGTAGTCAAGCACTATAATTAACATATAGAAACTGCCCCCCAACAAAGTTTATAAAGATTGTCCTCTAAATCCTTCACCTTAGAAATACCCCAAATTCACACCATTAGTGGGAGGTAGAGGTACTCACATTTTCTAGACCCCAAAATCCTGCAAAATGTTTGGGAAAGAGCTACACTTTTCTGAACAGAGATCTTAGCCTTAGATAAAATTGGAGAGAGATAAAATACTAACTTGATTAGTTAAAATGCCTGGGGGTATAAGCAGATGAGATACTGATCACATATTTATTAATAAAGATTAATTAAGGAAGAGGAATTAAAAACACATGTTCATATTTTCTAATTTATCATTCACTTCTGACTTTCCCTTATGTAACTGTTATTATATTCAAAAAATTCAAAATCATCATTCCAGTGAAATATTACAATAAAAAAATATGCAAATGCTTTCATTTGTGGAAATTCATATAGGAAAATAGAATCTGGAAGCTAATCTTCTCTTTAATAAGCAAGCTGATAAAGGCTTCATGCTTACAAATAAACCCAAACAGCACTATTAGGCACAAAAATCTGAATGCAAGGAATAGTAAGGACCTTTGTACTCCGAACAACATGGTAGGAAATTGCAGCACACACAGAGAAAAGGCTGATTACAGTTTAGAACAATGGAAGAAGAAAGAAAGGGATCCCCACAGAACCAATCACTATTCTCTTAAATTTTCTTGTTAAGGGTTATTACTTTAGTGAAGAAACACTAAAATTTGATAACAACTCTCTGCTATAAATTATTTACAATTGCTCGGATTATCTGTGTAGTAAAATATATGTATTCTCATTTCATGGGGTGGTCCTTCATAAAGTTTTCAGTTAAATAATTTTCCTAGTATTACTGTATATAGTACAGTATTTGTTCAGCTCCAAAATGCATGTTTTCTTTTTACAGTTTAACATTATAATGGTAATCTCCTTCCTGATTTGATTTTTTTTTCTGAAAAGCTGTTATCCACCCAGTGGTTTCTATTATAGTCAATGGCATTTTACAAGGAAATATTTATAGTGAGTCAGGTCCAGGAAGTAGAACACTATGTAAGTCTACATCTAATTACACCTGATAGAATGCTGTCTTAACAAAACATATTAATATCTGGGAGTGCTATTTATTACAGAAAACAATTTAAATGAATAAGCAATATTATTTTCTAAAATCTTGAGTGTTGGTGTTTAAAACACCAAATTTTAAACTCCTTAAGTTCAGTAATTATAATGTTGCTTGTCTTACTCTGTGTTTTCTTGCAGTTTCATTGATTCCCATGACTTCAACTCCCACTATAGGTAGTAATGATTACCAAATCATGACTTTCTGGCCCAGAAATCTTTTCTGAGATTCAGAGCTATATATACAATTTTCTATCATACATTTTGTTCGTCCACTTACAAATTTTTAAAAATAATCTACTGCATCCTATAGCAAATCAAACTTTCAGCTAAAACTAACAATGTATTTTTTAAAGAAAACGTCCAGCTCTCTTTATTCTCTACTCTGACTAATTTACCAAGAGTTAGAGTTAGATAAAATAGAGGAAGCTATTACTAATCCTTGAAGAAGCTCAAACAATTTTCCCAGTCATTTCAGAATAAGATGAGTCTGTCACCTTAGGATACCATATATTCATCCTGTCTTCTCTATCTTTATTGCCTCTACCTTGTTTAAGGTTCTCATCATCACTCTTATGGACAATGGTAGTCACTCCCTGACTGGTCTACCTGATCTTTTATTTATGCTGAATGTACTTCAAAAAAGCATGGATTTCCTTATGTCCAGACAGTAATGCCACTATGATTGTGTGCCAGTCAGGCTCACCTATATATAAACTCACTAAATGTACCCAAATGTACCCATAATATGAGGGTATATTAATAGATATAATTCCCAATTTTCAGAAGAGAAAACTGAAGGCTATGTGATTTCCATCACTAGTAAGTAGAAAATTTAGGATTAGAAACCAAATCTTTTTTTTAACCCCAAATCCCTTCTTTTTTTATGCTGCATAGCTTCCTTGCTATGTCCCTGGCAAACATATAGAAAAAGGAAAAGGAAGGGGGAGGCAGGGGAGTGAAAGACATTTTCTGTAGTAATGGCAGGGATTTTTAAAAGGGCAGTTTGAGAAGTGGTGCATGTGCACTTAACATAATTACTTAGACGTATAATTTAGTAAGTTACCTGGAAAAGGGTGACAGAAAAACATATGCTGGTGGCATATTCCATTGCACCAGCCACATTATATGCAACTGCTCACTGCTATGACTGATGGGAGAAGAAATGACATCTCTAAATGGGCATCTCTAAATGTATTAATAGAATGCTCTTTAAATCAGGTGCTGGTATAGTTGGGCATACCTTTAATATATAAAAGAGAAAGAAATATGTTTTTGGTTTGTTTAAATGTTAAATGTGATAGAATGGTTCTCCATTTCAGAGACAGCCAGCAGGTAGCCTGTCAGAGCACTTCAAGAGTGTGACAGCTGTGAGTCAGACAGGAAACTGGCAGGGATAAGTACGGTCTGAAAGAATATAGCTTTCAGATAAAGAGTGGCCTTTTCAGAGATTAAAAAAACTGTATAGTATCGAAGACAAGTAAAACTCTCTAAACCAATAGAGAGTTTGATGAACATAAAAGATTTGACATATTTCTGACAGGCATGTCAAAGAATTAAACATAGCAAACAAGAATAAGTAGATAAATATATGATTTAATTGTAAGAAGGTTGTTTGTGACTTTATGTGTTTGACTGAGGGTACATTACTAAATTATTTACTAGTGTTGTTCATCATTATCTAAACATTAATAAATAAAATAGTTTAAAAATAAACACTAGCCAGAATCCTGACAGAGATAGCACTACAGCCAGTTAACAAAGTTGAATAAGCCAGAATGATTAGAAAGCTGCTCATGTGATGGCAAGGTCATGCAAAATAAACAACTCTTAGGAAGGAAATTAAAAGTATCACCAGGTGTTGCTTTCAAAAACCTTGAATTTTTGTCATACTTAGAGGGATCATTTCTTTATAACCCATTATTTTCTGTAATAAGAGAACGGGGTGGGGGAATTAAAAACAGCAGATAATTCCATTTATTTTTAATATTTGGTCTAGAAATCCATTACATTATTTTCATCATATTAAGTTTACACTTCTAATTAATTTTTAGCCTCATATTACTTAGTTTAAAGGAGATACAAAATTCACAAAATGTTATCTCTTTTTTATTTCTCTTAGAAAAGCTCAGCTGAACACATTCTGCGTGAAAATGCACTCGTTTTCATGTTTTAATTTCCTCCAAATCCATCACTGGAGCTGGGAAACTGTAATTTCCTTGTTACTCATGAGTGTGTGCATCCTCAAAGCCATAGGGCCCTCTGGTCCCAGAAGGCACAAGCCTACATCCCTCCCCATGGAGATCTGGTAGACAGCTTCTCTCTGCTCCTAAGCACTTCACTTGCCATTTTCTCCACCTTTGCATCCTCTGAGTCTTGCAGACATCAAACAATTTAGGCATTTCCATAGCCTGACACTTCTAGAGAGATCAGTTTTTTAGAGAAACCTAACTTCTGAACTGAGGGTTGAGGTCCTGCGTAAGTGAACACCAAGATATGAGTGAATGTAAATTATGTAGCTAGTCCTAGGGAAAATTGACAAACCACAGTCTTTCGTACCAAGGGAAGAAGCTATGCCATTTTGGACTTATTTTTGTATTAAAAAAAAGGCTTAGGCAAATTTATTGGTGTCCCAACTGTGCCCAACATTACTTAAAGTGCTGATAGGTACAACTGATTATTCTATAAGCAATTCTTTTCTGAAGTATAAATGGGGAAATTAGACAAATATTTACTTTTGTTATGGATTAACAATTCCCCAAAGTACTTGCTCTTCATCCTCTAATTATCCCTTTTAAGTGAACCTGCTATGGGTAAATGCAGAAAGTTGAAGCAACAAAACATAAGTGGAAATTGGGACAGCAGCCCAGTAATTAGACTGATTTCCACTGGTGGTCAAAATGGTCAGAGAACTAAGTGCTGCTAAAGTGAGAAGGCGAGTAAGAAAGTAGCCAGACACCCACAGTCTCTCTGGAGGACTGACCCAAGCGAGGTAAGCATTGAAACCACAGGGTCCTGGAACCCAGGACAATAGAGAATAGCTTTGTGCCAAAGTAACCCTACTCACACTAAGTCTATTATGGAAGATGGCAGTGATGCCCTCTTCACAGATAGTCTGTGATGGCTATGCTGTGTGAGTTGTGGAGCACCTCAAAATATATTTCAGTAATGTGAGGAAAGATAAATAAATATATGAAAAAAGAGGAAAGAAAGAAAGAGAGAAAGGAAGGAAAAGAGAGAAGAAGGGAACAAGGGAGGAATGTAGAAAACAGAGCTATATACATAAGGAAAGACATAAAGACAGGCAAAGAATAAATGAAAGGAAGAAAGATGAGAAGGAGGGAACGTATTGAGAGTTTATTATTATACTAATTATACTTTACATATATCTACTGCACATTACATACATCTACCCTAGAGGTAGTTACTATTATTATCACCATATAAATAAACTGAGGCGTTAGTAGGTTGAGAAACTCCTTTATGCTCTCTTACATGGTTTGGCTGTGTCCCCATTCAAATCTCAACTTGAATTGTATCTCCCAGAATTCCCACGTGTTGTGGGAGGGACCCGGGGGAGGTAATTGAATCATCAGGGCCAGTCTTTCCCTTATTATTCTTGTGATAGTGAATAAGTCTCACAAGATCTGATGGGTTTATCAGGGGTTTCTACTTTTGCTTATTCTTTATTTTCTCTTGCTGCCACTATGTAAGAAGTGCCTTTCACCTCCCACCATGATTCTGAGGCCTCCCCAGCCATGTGAAACTATAAGTCCAAATAAACCTCTTTTTCTTCCCAGTCTCAGGTATGTCTTTATCAGCAGCATGAAAACAAGCTAATACAGTAAATTGGTACCAGTAGAGTGGGGTGTTGCTGAAAAGATACCAAAAAATGTGGAAGCAACTTTGGAACTAGGTAACAGGCAGAGGTTGGAACAGTTTGGGGGGCTCAGAAGAAGACATGAAAATGTGGGAAAATTTGGAACTTCCTAGAGACTTGTTGAATGGTTTTGCCCAAAATGCTGATAGTGATATGGATAATAAGGTCCAGGCTGAGGTGGTCTCAGATGGAGATGAGGAACTTGTTGGGAACTGGAGTAAAAGTGACTCTTACTATGTTTTAGCAAAGAGACTGGCAGCATTTTGCCCCTGCCCTAGAGATTTGTGGAACGTTGAACTTGAGAGAGATAATTTAGGGTATCTGGTGGAAGAAATTTCTAAGCAACAAAGCATTCAAGAGGTGACTTGGGTGCTGTTAAAGGCATTCGGTTTTAGAAGGGAAGCAGAGCATAAAAGTTTGAAAAATGTGCAGCCTGACTATGTGACACAAAAGAAAAACCTTTTTCCTGGGGAGAAATTCAAACCAGCTGCAGAAATGTGCGTAAGTAGCAAAAAGCTTAATGTTAATTTCCAAGACCATGGGGAAAATGTCTCTAGGCCATGTCAGAGACCTTCATAGCAGCCCCTCCCATCACAAGCCTGGAGGCCTAGGAGGAAGAAGTGGTTTCATGGGCCAGGCCCAGGGTCCCTGTGCTGGGTACAGCCTACGGACTTGATGCCCTGTGTCCCAGCTGCTCCAGCCATGGCTGAAAGGGGCCATCTTACAGCTCGGGCTGTGGCTTCAGAGGGTGGAAGCCCCAAGCCTTGGCAGCTTCCACATAGTATTGAGCCTGCCAGTAAACAGAAGTCAAGAATAGTGGTTTGGGAACCTCCACCCAGATTTCAGAAGATGTATGGAAACGCCTTTTGCCCAGGCAAAAGTTTTCTACAGTGTTGGGGCCCTCATGGAGAACCTCTGCTAGGGCACTGCAGAAGGGAAATGTGGAGTTGGAGCCCCCACAGAGAGTCCCTACTGGGGCACTGCCTAGTGGAGCTGTGAGAAGAGGGGCACCATCCTCCAGACCCCAGAATGGTAGGTAGATCCACCGACAGCTTGCACTGCGCACCTGGAAAAACTGCAGACACTCAATGCCAGTCTGTGAAAGCAGGCAGGAGGGGGGCTATACCCTGCAAAGCCACAGGGGTGGAGCTGCCCAAGACCATGGGAACCCACCTCTTGCATCAGCATGACCTGGATGTGAGACTTGGAGTCAAAGGAGATCATTCTGGAGCTTTAAAATTTGACTGCCCTGCAGGATTTTGGACTTGCATGGGCCCTGTAACCTCTTTGTTTTGGCCAATTTCTCCCATTTGGAATGACTGTATTTACCAAATACCTGTACCTGCATTGTATCTAGGGAGTAACTAGTTTGTTTTTGGTCTTACAGGCTCATAGGTAGAAGGGACTTGCCTTGTCTCAGATGAGACTTTGGACTGTGGACTTTTGGGTTAATGCTGAAATGAGTTAAGACTTTGGGGGACTGTTGGGAAGGCATGATTGGTTTTGAAATGTGGGGACATGAGATTTGGAGGGGCCAGGGGCAGAATAATATGATTTGGCTGTGTCCCCATTCAAATCTCAACTTGAATTGTATCTTCCAGAATTCCCATGTGTTGTAGGAGGGACCTGGAAGGAGGTAATTGAATCATGGAGACCAGTCTTTCCTGTGCTATTCTCGTGATAGTGAATAACTCTCACGATATCTGATGGGCTTATCAGGGGTTTCCACTTTTGCTTCTCCCTCATTTTCTCTTGCCACCATCATGTAAGAAGTGTCTTTTGCCTCAACCCATGATTCTGAGGCCTCTCTAGCCATGTGGAACTCTAAGTACAATTAAACCTCTTTTTCTTCCCAGTCTTTGGTATGTCTTTATCAACAGCATGAAAACAGAATAATACATTCATACACCTGGTATGTGGTAAAGCAGAGGTTCAAATCCACAAAAATTACCTCCAGTGTAAACTAACTATAATATAATCAAATAAAAAGTACGTACTATACTAAATGTCTGAAAGCACAGAGGAGCAATCAATCTATTTCCTTGGACTCTCACAGTTAGTTATGGTTTGGGGCACATTTGATTGTCTATGTTTACATTAATTTGCTAATTAATTTATTTATCTTATCCCTTTTTTTTGCAGAAAGAGCTATCACTACATGTTAACATGCTAATTTCCAGTAAGGACTAAAAATATTTAACACAAATCCTCTATTGTTTGTAAGGTGTGATTTTTGAGTTTAGATACATTTTCTAAGGTAAGGTGCTGCATTTATTTGATAATTCCTGATAAATGCACCTTCTAACTGATCCATATTTGACATTCAGCAGCCATCCATTTTATATCTTTATCTCTAGCTTATGCAATTGAAATAGATGACATCTTACTTGGAGCTTTGTTTTTTTATATTTTAATTGAACTACTTTAAATAGACATTATATGTAAATAGGGAAAATGCAAAGAGACAAAAACGTGTACCATAACATAGATATGTGTCCCCCCTACTACTGTCTCAGCCGTTCAGTTATATTTCCTAGAGGTTAAGGGTGTTTCCAATATTTAGTATATCCTACTGATGATATTCAATGCCTAGGCAAGCATGTGGAGATATAAATATAAACATGCACACAGAAAATGATGACTTAATTGTTGTAAATTTTTTCACTTCATTGTATATCTAAAAAATTATTTCATTTTACTACATACAGAATTGCTTCATTCTTTTTAGTGCCCACGTGTAGTATTCCATTTAATGGATTAACATTAATTTGTTGATCACTCCCCTGTTGATAGATATTTGAATTGTTTCCATCCTGTGCTATTGCAGACCATGTTATAATGCATATATTTGTATGGGTGTCATGTGGGACATATGAAAGTATATTTGTGGAATAAATTCCTAGAAATATAATTGCTGGATCAAAAGACATTTACATTTTATTTTTTGGAAAAGCTTTGTAGAATTGGCCTAACAGAGGTTGAGCCAGTTTACATTCCTTCAAGAATATAGTAGAGTAGCTACTTCACCACACCGATTTTCTCGTGATATACAGCCACTCCCAAAATACTTAATAATTACGAAGGAAAAATTAATTTACAATGGAAAACTCTTGTATATATCAACTTTATTAAGTAATTAAAAATAAAACCATCAGTTATGGGATAAATTAAAATAATGGACCACCTTATAAAGTGTAAAGATAAGAACACACTGTCAAATTTGTAATATCCTTGCCCAAAACAAGATTCTGAAAAATGGAGAAAAGAGATAAAAGGTCAGGGAACTCAGGACCTGGGGAAGGACGTGATGTGGAGTTATATAGGTATGCTTTTGGCTCCATGTATCCCAGACTAGGAGCTGAAGAAGCTGATAATCTAGAAACACCAAGAGGAGCAGAAAAAAAAAAAAAAAGCACCTATCAAAGTCTGCTCTAGTTGAATGACCAGGATAGGGGCAGCCTAGCAAAACAAAATTATTAGACAATAACCTCTCTACACTAGCCAAACACATCAGAATAATCTTTGACCCCATCCTACAAAGGCAGAGAGGAAAGCCTAGACTTTAATACCTGCTGGCCACTATTGACTCTCCCCTGACCCATGGTGTCAGTGGAAATCTTATGGGGAGTCTGGACTTCCTTCCCACCCTGACCTGAAAGCTAGGAAGAACCCCTCTTCCTCCCTGCCTGGGTATATCAGAGGAGGCCTAGTGGAAAGTCAAAGCGTTCACCATCAGCCAACAGTAATGAGAGAGTCTACACCACAGCGTCAGTGGAGACCATGTCAAATGTCAGCACTCCACTGCCCCCCAACAGTAACTAGGAGCCCACTTCCCCTAGAGACTTAATGGAGACCAAGTGGAAAAAGTGGGTTTCTACCACCACTTCATAGTAACAAGGCGGTTCCTTCACCACTTGCCAAGCCATTATTAGAAAAAAACAGCTAAAACAAAAAGTTTAATAAGATCCAGAGTCTCATAACATAATACAAAATTTTTCAAGTTTTAATAAAATAATCATTCATCAGGCTGAGCACAGTGGTTCATGCCTATTATCCCAACACTTTGGGAGGCTGAGGCTAAAGGACTGATTGAACTCAGGAGTTCAAGATCAGCCTGGGCAACATAGTGAGACCTCATCTCTACAAAAAAAAATTATATATATATACACACACATATATATGTATACACATTTATTATGCCAAGAACTAGAAAGTCTCAAAGCAAGTTACAGACATAATCAACAGATGCCAAAACCACAATGACAGAAATGTTAGAATTATCTGACAAAGATTTTAAAACAACTATGATAAAATTGCCTCAATGAACAATTGTGAACATGCTTCAAACAAAAGAAAAATTAGAAAGGCCAAGCAAAGAAATACAGTCACAATAAATATACAGAAGATATAAAGAAAAGCCAAATAGAAATTTTAGATATGAAAAGTATAATAATGGAAATAAAAAATCAGTGGATGGACTCAACAGTAGAGTTGCCGCGGAGCAAGGGCATAGGAAACAATCAGTGAGCTGGGAGACAAATTAATAGAAATTACTCAATCAGAACAACAAAGAGAAAATAGACTGGGAAAAAGGAATGAACAGAGTCTCAAGGACCTGTGGGGCTATAACAAAAGACCTGACATTCATGTCATTGAAGTCCCCCAATTGGAGAGAGAAACAGTGGGGCTGTAAAAGTATGAAAAAATAAGACTGAAAACACCCCAAATTTGGCAAGAGAAATAAACCTATAGTTTCAAAATGCTAAGCAAACCCCAAACAGGAAAAACCTAAAAACATATATGCCAAGGTAAATCACAGCTGAATTTTGATAACTAAAGAAAGCAGAAAAAGTCTTGAAAACACCCAGAAAAAATGATGACCTATAGTACAAAACCAGAATGGTAGTGTATTTCTCATGAGAAACCATGGAGGCCACAAAGAAGTGGCACAATATTTTTCAAATGCTGAAAGGAAAGAACTATTAAGTCAGAATCTTCTACTGGCAAAATAAATATATTTTAGAAAGAAAGGGGAAACAAAGACATTTTCATGTGAAGAAAAACTAAGAGAATTTGTCACCAACAGACCTACCTTTATAAAAGTGGCTAAATGAATTTCTCTAAACAGAAATGAAACAGTACAATAAAGAACCTTGCAGTGTCAGCAAGGAAGAAAGAACATGGTTAGCAAAAACACTGGTAACTACAATAAGCTTATCTTCCATTAACTTTTCTAAATTATGTTTGTTGAAACAACAATCATACACTTTCTGATGTGGTTATAAATATACACACAGGAAGTACTTAAGACAATTATAGTATGAGTGGGGAAGGGTAAACTGACATAAAGGGATTTAAGGGTTCTACACTTCACTTGAACTGCCAAAATGAGGACACTAGCAGATTGTGGAAAGTTACTTTAGTATAATACCTAAAGCTATAACCAACAAAGCTAAAGCTAAACAATTATCTAAATCTGTTATAATGTCCCCTCTAAAACTTATGCTGAAATTTAATTGCCATTGTTAGTGCTGAGAGGTGGGACCTTTAAAAGGTGATTAGGTCCTGAGAGTTCTGCCTCATAAGTGGATTAATACCATTACCAAGGGAGAGGGTTAGTTATTGCAGGAGTAGATTAGTTATCATGGGAGAAGGCTTCCAATAAAAGGATAAGGTTGGGCCCCCATCCTCTCTCTGTGTTACATACTCTTCCCTCTCTTGCTCTCTTTCACCATACAATGCCTTCTACCATTTTATGATGCAGCGGGAAGGTCCTCACCAGATGTGTCCTCAAAGTCTTGGACTTCCTAGCCTCCAGAACCATGAGGCAAATAAATTTCCTTTTTATTAATTACCCAATCTGTTACATTCTGTTATAGCAGCATAAAATGGATTAATATGCCATCTAAAAAGCACTGTAGATAAATCAAAATGTAATTCTGAAAAAAAAAATTCTCCTAACCCAAAAGATAGCAGGATAACGAAAGATATAAAATAGCAAATTCAAAACAAAATATAAAATGGTACACTTAAGCCTTTAAGATACTCATAATTACAATAAACTTATATGATGTAAGTGCACATAAGAATGGATTTAATCCATTGGAAGAAGGAATTTAAAACCATGACATTACTCTATATTCTCTATAAGAAACTCACTTCAAGTATAATGATGTAAGTATATTGAAAGTAAAAGGATGAAAAAATATATGCAAATATTAATCAAAGGAAAGCAACAGTAGTTATATTATTAAAATAGATTTCAAAGCAAAGAAACCAACCAAAGGCAGAGTATGTATATAATGATAAAACAGTCAATCCACCAAGAAAGCATAGCAATCCTAAGTGTGTATGCATCAAACTACAGGTCTTTTAAATTTGTGAAGCGAAAACTATTAGAACTAAAAAATATCAACAAGTCCACAATTATAGATGAATAATTACATGTTCTCTCTCAACAATTGATAGAACAACCAGACAGAAAATCAACTAGAACATAAAACAACTCAACATCAACCAACAGAATCTAATGAACAGTGATAAGACACTCCATCTAACAACAGCAGAATACACATTCTTTCCAAATGCCCACAGAATACAGGCCAAGAGAGACCATACTCTAAGCCATAAGACAAATTTCAAATAACTTAAAAGAATTAAAACTGTGCAAAGTATCTTCACTGACTGCTATAAAATTAAACTAGAAAGTAATAAAAAATAAATGAGAGAAAAATATCCAAACACTTCTAAACTAAACAATACGTGTTTTAAAAATATCCATGGGTAAGAGGAATAATCAAAAAAAATTAGAAATACATTTAATTCAATTAAAATGAAAATAAACGGTTATAGGATTAGTTCTGTCCCCCTAAAATTCCTGTGTTGAAGCTCTAACTCCTATTTTCTCAGAATGTGACTGTATTTAAGGATAGAATCTTTAAATAGGTAAGTAAGTTAAAATGAGTCCATTAAGGTGAGCCCTAATCCAAATGTGATTCATATTCTTATTGGAAGATGAGTTTTGGACACAGACACACATACAAGGAGAAAGCTACGTGAACCTGATGTGGGCCATCTGTAAGCCAAGGAGGGAGGTTTCAGATAACACCAACCCCAGCGAGACCTTGATCTTCGACTTCTAGCCTCTGGAATTGTGAGAAAATAAATTTTTGTTGTTTAAGCCACCCAGTCTTTGGTACTTTGTTATGACAGTCCTAGAAAATGAATGATACAACAACATATCAAAGGTTGTGGGGACACACCCAAGTGGTGCTGAAAGTAAATTTATAGTACTGAATACATATATTAAAAAAGAGAAAAACTGTTAAGTCAAAAATGCAGTCTTTTCTTGAGAACTTAGAAAAAGAAAACGATAAACCTAAAGGAAACAAAATAAAAAAATGTTAAGAGCAGAAATCTATCAAATTGTAAGGGGAGCAGGGAACAAACAAACAAAAAAAGAAAATTAATGATAAAAAGTAATGCTTGAATTTTTCTATAATAAAATACTTTTTAATTTAAAAAAGAGTGCAAGAAGAAATGTCAGTATAGATATTGAAGACATCAAAAGGATAAGTGAATACTACATAGAATACTACATACTTAAATTTGACAACTTACACAAAGTTGACCAGTTCTTCAAAAAAGCATAAATTGCTGCATCTCACCCAATATGAAATAGATAATATTAAGAGTCTTACAATATTAAGGATATTGAATTTATGCCTTTAACATTTTCAAAAAGAAATCTCCAGACCAAGATGGGGCCTGGCAAATTCTCTGAGACTTTTAGAGATAACACCAATTCAATACACTCCTTTTGAAAATAAAATAAAACAGGAAGAAACACTTCCTGCCTAGATTGTATTAATCTGGTATTACCATGACACCAAAACCTAAAAAAGACAGTAAAAGAAATATAAAACTACCAATATCTCTCGTGTATAGACATGCAAATTTTTTTAAGTATTAGCAAGTAGCATTCGACTATATTTTAAAAGAATTCTACACCATAACCAAGTGGGTAGAATTCCAAAAGTGTAAGCTTGGTTCAATATTCAAAAATCAAACATTGTAACTTATTGTATTATCCATTTAAAAATTAAAAATCATATAATTATTACCAATTATAATAAAAGCATTAATAAAATTCAACATTCATGATTAAAAATTTTCAGAAAAATAGGGATATGAAGGAACTTTTTTTTTTTTTTTTTTTTTGAGATGGAGTCTTGCTCTGTCGCCCAGGCTGGAGTTCAGTGGCGCAATCTCGGCTCACTGCAAGCTCCGCCTCCCGGGTTCGCACCATTCTCCTGCCTCAGCCTCCCGAGTAGCTGGGACTATAGGCGGCCGCCACCATGCCCGGCTAATTTTTTATATTTTTAGTAGAGATGGGGTTTCACGGTGTTAGCCAGGATGGTCTCGATCTCCTGACCTCGTGATCTGCCCGCCTCAGCCCCCCAAAGTGCTGGGATTACAGGCGAGAGCCACCGCGCCTGGCCTGAAGGAACATTTTTAACTTGATAAGACACACCCACAAAAAAATCATTAGCTAACACTGCACAGATTTATAATTTTTTTCATTTTTAGTTTTTAAATTTTGTAGGTGTATATATTTTGGGGTACATGAGATGCTTTGATACAGGAATGCACTGTGAAATAATCACATCATGTAGAATGAGGTATCCACCCCCTCAAGCATTTATCCTTTATGTTACAAACAATCCAATTACACTCTTTTAGTTATCTTAAAATGTACAATTAAGGTGTTATTGACTATAGTCACCTTGTTGACTAATACTGTACTTAAATAGTGGAAGATTGAAAACATTTTCTCTAGGATTAGAAACAGGCAAGGATATCCACTCTCATAATCCCTTTTTGCCATAGTGATAGAAGTTTTAGCCAATGCAATAAGGCAAAGAAAAAAGGAAAGCATGCATACAGATCATAAAGAAAAAAAACTGTCCTTATTTGAAGACGGCATAACTGTATATATAGAAAAACTCAAGGAATCTGCAAAAAGACTCCTAGAACTAATAAACTAGTTCAACAATATCTCAGGATACAAAATTAACATATACAAATTTATTTTATTTCTATATATAAGCAATAAACATCTGGGCACCAAAACTAATAATATAATACCATTTATAATCACTCAAAAATGAAATAGTTATAAAGCTAACAGATATATACAAATTTTTATGCAAAACACTATAAGAGAAACTACAAGTACTACAAGTACTACAAGAAGTCAAACATCTAAATAAATGGAGATAAATACCACATTTGTGATTTTCTAGACTCAAAATGTGAAAAGTTGTCAATTCTACCCAAATTACTCTATAGGTGTAATGCAACTCCAACAACCATCATGGCAAGGTGTTTCGTAGACATAGATAAGCTTATTTAAATGTTTATATGGAAAGATACAGGACCTAGAGTAGCTAAAATGATATCACTCTACCTGGTATTATTACTTAGTGTATAATAACAGCAGTCAAGACAGCGTGATTTTGAAGGATAAGAGATACATAGAACAATGAGACAGAATAGAAAATCAAGAAATGGACTCACACAAATTTTTCCAATTAATTTTTGACAATGATGTAGGAGCAAGTCAGTGGTGGAAAGATAGTCTTTTCAACTAATGGTGCTAGAGTAATTGTATCTCAATAACCAACAAAATGAACCTTGACCTAAGTCTAACCCCTTACACAAAAATTAACCTAAAAAGATCATGGACTTAAGTATATAACTTAAAACTTTTAGAAAAAAATACAGGAGAAAATATTCAGAATCTAAGGCCAAAGAGTTCCTAAATTTTATGGGTCATCTAGTATGACCTATAAAAGGAAAAATTGATACTCTGGACTTAGTCAAAACTAAAATCTTCTGCTCTGTGAAAGACCTTGATACAGAATGAAAATGTGTAGTGTGGGGGGAAATATTTGTGAACCACATATCCAACAAAGAACTAATAGGATATATGGTGAACTCTTGAAACAGTAAAAAAAGCAAACAAAGTAATCAGAAAATAGATAAAAGACATGAAGAGACATCTCACCAAAGAAAATATAATGATAAAAAATACGTCCGTGGAAAGATGTTGAAGATCATTAGACACTAAAGAAATGCAACTTAAAATCATTACACACATCATATTTGCTAAAATAAAACACAGTGAGAACACAAAATGCTGGTGAGAATACAGAGAACCTGGATCACTTACACATTCCTGATGGAAATGTACAACCATTGCAAAAACCAGTTTGGCAGATTTTTAAAACCACCACATGGCCTAGCAATTATAAATCATGTATTACTTTAAAGATTATCAAATTTCATATTTCATTTTTTTCTGTTCTTTTGGTCTGTTTCCATCTTTAAAACAACTATAAATTTGTTAGGTCTCTTAGTCTCTCTTTTCATAGTAACCATTTTTTCTATTCTTTGTAATCTACCTATTTTCCATTTCATTTTGCTCATTATTCTCAAACCTATCCTCCATGTCTCTCATCATGCTTTCAGTAGAATCTATTTACTCTTTTCTGCTTTCATTAGGGCTTTCATTTTTCTTATTATTATTTCTGCAGTATTTTTCATGTACTTTACTAGCTCATATATCATTTGCTTTTGGTGTTTCCCTGTATCTTTTCAAAATTCTTGTGTTTCCAATTTAAATGTTTGTTAAAAAATTACATTTTTTATTAAGTTTTTCTTTTTCATTCATGGTGATATTTTTATCATATTATTTATCTTTTTTATGTCAACATACTTTTTTGCTTAGTTCTTTGTTTACTATTTATCATTCCTATTCTAGTTCCTATTTTATTATTCTTATCATTCTAACTTTTATACTCCCTTTTCTTTTTTTTTTTTTTTTTTTTTTTTTTTTTGAGCTTAGAAAATTTATTCCTTTTGTTTTTTTCCTTTGAAATAACACACACAGGCAGGGAGGTGGGGCGCAGTGGAGGTCGAAGGAGGTGGAAGCGTGCGGAAGTCCTCCAGCCCCTCCCCAAATCCCAGTTCCCCTTTCCAAGTCCCTCCATGGGGTCTCCAGATGATCCTAAGCTCAGAATCCAACTATGAAGTGCAGAATGTAAGGGCGTAGGGGAGGAGGACTTTGCTCCTCTCTCTGGTAGAAAAATAGATCTGGAATGAATTTGGGGATTTGGCGGGGTTTTTTTGTTTTTGTTTTTTGCATCATTGGGTGCTTGGGTTTAGGGAAGGGTGGTCTTTGCCGATTTTCTCCTGGCTTTCAACTCTGGAAGCCTGGGGAGGCCCTGATAGTGCTGGGGTGGGGACATCCCTTCATGTGTCCCTGGCCTCAGACTGTCTCCTTGCCAGCCTCCAGGAGTGAGTGATTCCTCGGACCCCTTGGAGGAACACAGCTCTGGGGACTATTCGCCTAGAAGGTGGGAGGGGGATGGAAGATGCTGTGAAGTGTGGGGATGCAGGGAGTGGAGTGGTTCCAGGGAACAGTTTCCCCACAGGGCTGGGAGGGGGTGGCCCTGCAGAGGTGGGGTGAGGGGGAATCCAGCATCCGTGCAGGTTGCAGCCAGGACCTGGGCTTCCTTCCCCACAGACTCCCTCGACCATGCAATTTCATGTCATGAGAAGCCGGCTCTGGGCACCAGTGTGTGTGGGATACTGTGTGACTGGGCTGCCAGGATCTAGACTTGGGGCCTGAACATTTGGGACCCGGCGCCTGGAAGATTCAGATCAGAAACCAGGGATTAAGGGCTTGGGATTCAGTGCCTTGGAATATCAGGGTCTGCATTCAAGAGATGAGGTTTCAACATTGAGGGACTGGGCAGAGGGATTGGGGACCCAGAATCTGGAATCCAGCAGCTGCAGTTGCCAGGATCCAGTGGCACAGCAAGTGGATCCCTTTTCTTATAATACTTTTAATATATTTTATGCAGAGCCATTTTATGCTATTAATCATTTCCAAATTAGTTAAGATCTTTTTGACCAAATATTTAAAAGAAAGTTTATTTTGGTTATGGACAAGGAAAGTTTTCTAGGCTAGTCAAATCCCTGTGTCATAAAATTGTATCTGTAAATAAATCATTGTAGCTCTTACTTATCTCTGCGTATGTCCAGAGAAGCTGTTGTGGAACATTCCAAATTCAGAGTCCCTTTTCTCTAACTTCAGTCAAATACTGCCACCAGTGAAGATGGCATGGGTCTAGGTTTTATTATTCACCCCCATCTTCCCTATTTGTCACGATACCAAAGGAGGATCAGAAAAGCTCCTGCTACCAAGTCATGCACAAGGTTCCAATACTTCAAATCATGGCATTATTAGTTAAATATTTCAGGATGTGTTGTCCACTTTAGGGAAATGTGATCTCTTAGTTGCATATAAGATCTGCAGCCACATGTGTACTTCCCTCTTATGTTCCCGTATTCCTGCCTAATCTGCAAAGTATTTGTCAGCTTCTCATGAAATGTTGAGGTTTGAATATTGTAGATATTCACTAGTTTCACTGAAAAGAGACAGTTTGTATTTCTCCTTCTGTTTCTCCTGAATGACGGAGTGATTTCAATGCTTAAAAATGTGACAATATTATTTCAAAACTTGAAGTCTTTTTTGTTTGTCTTTATAAAGTTCTTGTAGTGATTTAAACAAAGATATTATAGATAAATCATTGGATCCCAATTTCTTAAACATACCATTGATCTGTATTATATTTAAATCATTGGCAACTGACATTTTATCTCTTCTCTGTATTACAATTTACCTGCTCATCAATTTTTCAACTTTTTAAACTTTGTATTTCAACATTAAAAATTTATATTAAATAGAAATTATTGGATGAATATAATATTTATTACACAAATATAAATATATTAAATATAAACATATTAAGTATAAGTGTAAATATATTAAATATAAATTTAGAATATAATATACTTCCTAGGCTAACAAATTAATAATACGGTGTTTTTATTTGGGGGTCGGCTTTTTTGTTGTGCATATTTGTTTCTTTAACTCTAATCTTTGTAGAAAGAGGAGAAACACTTCTGGTAAGTGAGAAAGTCATTGCAGGAAAATTTTATGTACAACATTTGAATGACCTCTTCTTGAAAACTTTGTGAAATAAATTTTTAAAAGCCAGCCCTATGTCCTTTCACCTAAATTAATGTAATCAAATTCAAAAGTATTCTAAGCCTTCTCATAGACACTATATTTTACCCTAATAATAAATGTGGGGAAGAGGAAGAACTGATGCAGAGGCAGCTGAGTTACTATATCTCCAAAATTCCCTTATAAAAATAAATACAGCAATTAGGATAACAAAACCCAAAGCTCATGGAAAATGTCTTCAATAAAACTTTGTCCAAGAAATCTTTGAGCTGCCAAAACACAAGCAGATGGTGACAAACCAACTGTAGCTACAGCATCCACAATATGCATGAGAGGAAATGGAGGAAGCAACAGGAAGAATCCCCAAATAGATAAAGGACTCTCTTTATAAAGTTTGTCACGTCAGTTTGAGAAGAGCAACTGAGCCTAGCAGGAGATTTCACTCACTTTAATTTGAGGGTGAGAGCAAGGATACCTCCACTAGAGCTGAAGTACCTGGAGCAGTCTGGGCTTTTGAACTCTCAAAGCAAAACAATCATGTACAGTCCCACACAGAGGGAAACGTCTGAGAGAAGAGCCCTGATTGAGCAACACAGGGAAAAAAGAAGAAATAAGAACAGTAAAAATGCGATGGCAAACCCCATAATAAATTATTATAAAAATATGATGAATAAATAGCAGAATAACTTCCTACAGACAAAAGCATAATTAATGTTTACTAAAAGACAAAGCTCAAATAAAAATTGGGGAGGGTAACAGATACAGTACATTTGAAAACAGAAGGTTATATATTTGACCCTTTAATGAAAACAATGGAAGAGATGGCTCTAGAGCCCTGACCTACTCCTTTCTTTTAAAAGTCTGGAAAAACTCATCTTCACAATTTAAAATGAGCACCTTTTTTTTTTTTTTTTTTTTTTTTTTTTGACGGAGTCTCGCTCTGTCACCCAGGCTGGAGTTCAGTGGTGTGATCTCGACTCATTGCAAGCTCCGCCTCCCAAGTTCACGCCATTCTCCTGCCTCAGCCTCCCGAGTAGCTGGGACCACAGGCGCCCGCCACTACGCCTGGCTAATTTTTTGTATATTTAGTAGAGACGGGGTTTCACGGTGTTAGCCAGGATGGTCTCGATCTCCTGACCTCGTGATCCGCCCGCCTTGGCCTCCCAAAGTGCTGGGATTACAGGCATGAGCCAACGCGCCCGGCAAGCAACATTTTAAATTGTGAACATTTGAGGTCAAATACCGTACTAGGTTATTACAAAAATAAATACGGAGCAGAATAATTTTCTACAGTAAAAACAGCAATAAAAACATCCGAGAAAGGCATAGTTACACAATAGATTTTCAAAATCTAAACTAATATTTCAAAATAAGCTAAAACAAGTTAAGAAAAATAATAAAGGCTACTAAAAACAATATAAATTTGGGAAGAATTCAAAAGTAAGGCAATAAAATGCAGAAAATAAATAAAAAGAAAAATTATTTCCGAAATGAAAACTACTAGAAAGAACACTAGAGCAAATAAACATAAGAACAAAGTAAGTTCAAAAGATGAGGAAAGGGATTTAAAAGATCCAAGCAAAACAGACAAGTATAGAAATAAACTAATATACAAAATATGTATAACAGGCATTGATAAAGAAAATGAAAACAATGAAAGAGAATATGTACTAAACAATATGAATCAAGAATAATTTATTGAAAAATTTTGACTTAAAACTACATGCTGAAGAGGTAAGTCACATACCTGGAAAAATCAACCAAAAATGCCTAACACCAAGACATATTCTAGCAGGCCTATCAAACTTTATAAAAGAGGTAAAAAAAATTATTGCGGTTGACATGCCAAAGAAAGAAAACAAGTCAACACCCAGACAAATTCTGGTAAGTATTTAAGACTTGAAAAAATACATACCTTTGGACATCGAGGATAAAAATACTCAGTTACTTATAAGACTAATAATCTGATTTTTACCAAATTTTTGACAGCAATGCTTTGTAGCAGAAGAAAATGGAGTAATAGGAAAGTAAATGTGAGCTAAAGTTTTATATCTATTCAGACCGGTAAGCACAAACAAACTTTTCTGAATGTGAAAAAACTATATTAAGCACTAAATATATTTGCATGTGGAACTAAGACTACATAATTGTTATAAGGGAAATAATATAGTGTATAATCACTTTGTGCCCTAATAATGTAGGTGAAGTACAATAATCAAAAATGGGCAGATAGGGAGAAAATATGAAAGTAGAACAGGCTTGTTGATTGCCTTACAGCTTTTAACCAGAGTAAAGGAATATTACTTCAAATCAGATACTGAGGAAGAAAGAGAGGACAGAAAGTAGTGGTTAATAGCTAGTTCTAATATTGCTAATAGTAAGAAACTAATAGAAAATAACTAAGTAAAAAAACTCAGACTATCATATAAAGCTTTTTAATATAAAAGTAAACATTAGCACAAAAATGCAGCTCTCCTGGACACGAAAATATATAATCAAGAAAGATTTTTTAAAATAATAGAAGAATAAGTAATAACTTTTTATTTGTTATATAGGCGTAGAGATATAATAGAGTGAAGAGAACAGAAAAAGAAGTTTTACTTCTTTGAATATATCTTCTTAAGTTTTGAGTTTGGAACTATAACATTTTACCCAAACAATATTAGCAGTATTAAAATTATAAATCAATCCATTCAAGTAAAAAGAAAATAAAATAAATGAACCTAAATTTGTATTCAGTTGGATGAACTATTCCAGGACAGTTTAAAGCACACCAATTCAGCTATACGTGTCTAGTAAAATATATCCTAAAGGGGAGAAAAAGTGCAAATCACATTTTAAACTGTTTTCATTCATCATTATTTGTGGTAGTGTTGGCATTGAGATCATTGCTTCTGTGTATTAGAGGATAAAGCAAGTGAGTAACTGTGGGACATTCTATTATTTCCAGCATGATCAAGAACTGTAATTCTTGCCATGGGATAAAGGAAATATAGATCTATATTTAATCCAGTTAGCCAGGTAAAACCCCTGTTATCCTTACTTTGAAACTTGGAATTATTGGAATACGCATGATGCATTTTACCTTTAAAATATGTCCTACCTCTGTTCACTGATTCAAAAACAATGCCCAAACCAGTAGCAATATGCATTTCTGTTAGATTGTAGTGTCTGTCCATATTACAGTAAAAGGAACCAGAACTTCTTAGATAACTGGCTCCTTCATTTATTTATTAATTTTATTCTTCATAAGTTTTTTATAGAGATGGGGTTTCACTATGTGATCCAGGCTGATCTGGAACTCATGACCTCAAGTGATCTTTCCACCTCAATCTCCCAAAGTATTGTGATTACAGGGGTGAGCCACCATGCCTGGCCTACCTGATTCATTTCTATACGTATCTGGGACATTTTGGCAAACCAGAGAAAACTATCAAAGACTATTAAGTTGGAGTCAGATTAACTCAGGAGTCAATTTGTAAAGTCTCCCACTATCAAACATGGGGAAATTTCAACATCAAGTAGAATTTTAAAATTGCAATGAATTGAAACATACAAATATGTTTCAACTATTGCTTTAAATAATATCAAATTTTTTTGAAGACATCATTGGTCAATATACTAACAATTCAAATCATTATTTGAATTGGAAATTATGGAAATGAACTAAGAAAAAAAGGAAAGAATCAGGCATTCATGCTATAACTTTCTCATACACTTAACCAAATCAAGATAAGGGCAGCTTCTTTTTATAGAAATACTCTGGCTAATAAAACGAAGAAGGAAGAGTAAAATACCTAAAAAAATCAATAATTGATCTAGATGGTAATATCAAGGACTGGCTTAACAACCAGACACTATGTGCCTCCTAATGGAAAAAGACAACATCAGTTACAAAACTGTCATGCTGATAACATGACACTCAATCCGATCAAGCTCCTAGGTCAAACTACCAATTTACAGAAAATAAAAAATAAATTCCACCAACAGGATGCAACCAGCAAAACCTAGAGTGTAGAAAATTCTCCAGAAAAAAAAAGATCTGGTTTCTTCAACATATAAATTGGAAAACAAATAAATAATATTTTATATATATGAGAGAGAGTAATGGAGAAAGGGGAGCAGTAGAAAGAAGCAAGCCTAAAGATTTAGACATTTAAAAGCCATTAAATCAGTCATAACATCTGAATCTTATTTGGAATCTGAAGAAATATATATATTATTAAAACAAATTAGAACAGTTTTTCAAAAATTAGAAATTTGAACACTGATAGATATTTCATGACATTAAGGAATTATTGGGTTTTTAAAAATTATAGTTTTATGTTTACTTTTCAAAAGATACCTTAAGTTTTGACATACTGATTTACAATCATGCACCCAATAACTACATTTAGGTCACTGACAGGCTGCCTATATGATAGTGGCCCTACATGGTTATAATACAGTATTTGTCTATGTTTATATATGTGTAGCTACACAAATACTTACCATTGAGTTACAGTTATCTCTAGAATTTAGTACAGTAACATGGCTGTGCAGGTTTGGAACTTAAGAGCAATAGGCTGTACCACATAGCCTAGGTGTGTAGTAGACTATGCCATCTAGGTTTGTGTCAGTGCACTCTATGATGTTCACACAATGATGAAATCACCTAATTACACATTTCTCAGAACATAACCCTGTCGTTGAGCAATGCATGATTGTATTTACAAATTAAGTAACAGGATGCCTGAGATTAGCTTCAAAATTCAATTCAATATTGAGGGAGTGAGTCAGTGAGAATAAAACTAGATTAGCTATAATTGACAATTGTTCAGTTTGGGTAATGATTCATGGAGGTTCATCATACTATTCTACCTACTTTTGTATATGTTTTAAATTTTCCATAATAAAAAGTTTTGGGAAAAATGAGAAAGAGAAGAGAAAAAGTAAGGACAAAAATTACACTTTAGGATCACTAATTAAAAATAAATTTGCTTGAATTGGATATATCATAATGAAGCAAAAACATATATTTTGCTGCATATAGTTATCAAATAAAGTACTATGTTATCTGGCCTTCAACATGAGGAATAATTATTTTACATAAGGTTTATCACATAAGAAAGTATCACATCCCCTTGGCTACAGAAATTGGTTGGGAATAAGCACAAGATCCAAACAGACAAAAAATCAGACAGAATTCTTGCAACTGGAAGGCTACTTCCTTTCCTTGCTACCCATGAACTATACATGGAAGTTGGTGTATATATCCTAGAGCTGCTGAGGATCACCAGGTAGAAACAACCTGAATGAGAGTTAGGGCAACCCAGGAGAGAGCAGATCTATGATAGTAAGAGAACCAGGTCCTGATGCTGTCATGTAACCCTATCCCCAGAATTATCAAGCTATAATTAAACCAGGGTACCTTTAGTTTTTTACAAAATAATATTTTTATTATGTTTTAGATGTTAAAAAATTATCTTTATTATTAAATCCCAATAGAGTTTGATGAACTCTGTTTTAGCATTGCTGGAGAAATCATAAAGAAATTGAACTGGAAGATGGTGCATTTACATAGATTCCCAACTGCATATTCATTTTACACACAGAATTTAGATAAATCATAGTTATGGACCTGAGAGAAGGATTTTGTATCCAGCTCTCTTGTTCTGCCCTAGTCAGCATTTTACCACAAACCTAGATTAAGATACAAATGACATACTTATCAACTTTCACATCCACAAATCTGGGAGTCAGCAAAAATTATATAACTTTAAACATGAAGATTTAGAGATATTACACTATCTAGAAAATGAGCTGCAATTGATGAGATTTTGTTTTATATGTAGAAATGAATAGCTTTACACAAAAACTAAGAGTCAATTGCATAAAAGCAGACAAAGAAAAAGAGTCCAACAGCAAATCATGGATAAAAGCCTGGGATTTCAACTGGATGCAAACTCAACTTTTTCCTCTATCACCAAGAGGAAAAAAAAAGACAAGTAAAAGCAATTTTAACAGCAGTAGAATCTACAGATCAGCTAAAGTAGTAATTCAACTATGTTTTCCCCTTGCCAGAGAAAATACAGGTCTTGTGTTCAGTTGTTATTTAAGAAATAAATTTTTAAAAGTGGAAGACTCTATAAGAGTGAAAAGACAATTATCAAAAAAGCATGTAAAGGTTAATGATCTGAGACTGTTTAGCCTCAGGAAAATCAGTCTACGGCAACTCTCTTATTTAGTGGAAGAAATGAAGACATAAAAGAGGCATTAAATTTATTCTATGTAGATCCAAAACTGGGACTCAAGGATGGAAATTAGAGAGATATAGGTTTGAGCTTAAGAAGAAAAATGGTTTTCTAATGATCAGAGCTGTCTGAAACAGAAGCTTTATGGAAACACTGTACTCACTGATCACTACAAATATTCATGATAATCACCACTTTGGTGTTTAGACGCCGCCCCATTAAAAGGGGGTGGGAAGTTGAGCTAACTGACCTTTAAGGCTGTTTACAAATTGATTTATTAATGATACTAATAATCAAATATATCATATTTATTATCATGTATTTTATAAACCTTCTCTATAGCAGCATATATTTGGTATTGTCTATTTCTTAAAAATTATTGAACCACCTGAAGAACAACAACAACACAAACTCTCGGTCTCTTGTATTTGCCTCTGGTTGACTCACATTTTCCCCCATTCTATCTTTCAATCTAACCAACTCAGCTAATCCACCTAGCATGCTACTATCATACACTTAATAACATTTAATGTGCTGGCCAAAGTCTCCATTAAACTTTTACATTTTGTGAATCAGCAGCTCTCTAATTGATTTAAGTTGCTTCTTCCTTTCTCTACTGATTGCCAAGCAAATCATAAGAGATATCTAAATATATTCTGTTGAGCATAAATAATCTAAAACCATGTAACCTTTTAACAGCAAAAACCAAGTTAAGCTTACTTGGATTCAGGGAATCTTATACTCTTGGAACTTTCATTTATAACTGATTGTATAAAATGGAATAAAAATAACATGTTTCTCTGACCCATTTAATCTAAATATCTACTTATAAATTACACCACACCATATTTCGCCAAATTTAGATGTTTAAGATATAACCCCAAATAGCCCTAGTTTCCATCATTCTAAATGAATATTTCATAAATCAATAAATATAATTATTTATTAAATTTTTATTAAGTGGCTACATGTCACAGCTTGTGCTAAGCCCTGGAAATAAGAGATAAGCACAAACAATAATGACGTCTGTCCGCATGGAGCTTATGATCCCATTGAGCAGATAGATATCATATATTATAGCATAATCAAACCTAAAAGTTAATTTATGATAGCTGCTACAAACGAGAGCTATAGGGTGCTCTAAGAGTATATTAATAATGAGATTTGACCTGGTCAAGGTCTGGGACTGTTTTCCAGAAGTGACACTAGAGCCTCTCTAAAGAATGAATAAAAGTTCCCCCAAAGAAAAAAAAAAGATTTTTTAAAAAATCACTCCATATATAAAACATTGTAAAAGTGTAAGAGACTACAAGAGGTCTGTGTGGTTAGAACAGAGACGGGCACAGTTTAACAACAACAATAATGAAGATCGAAGTGAGATAAGCCTGAAAAAAATAATTAAGAGTAAATCCACACATGCCCTTCAAAGCAGTGGGTAGGAAATATGATTGGGATATGATTTGCATTTGAAAGTGTCATGGATCCTTTGGAAAAAGAGGAGAGGTACAGTCATGCAAAATGGAAGCCAGTAAATTAGTTTTGAGGCCATTCTGCTAGTCTACTCAAAAGAAGGGAAGCTTAGGTTGGCTTGACCATGGAACTGATGAAATTGGTTGTATTTAAGAGATACTTAGATGGTAAAAGTGATAGGATTTGAATAGATTTCAATTATGTCATTTGCCTGACAACTATATTTAAGTAAATCGAGTTGTCTAGTGCCTATTTATCCAGATTATTCTGTGATTTTGTGGTCTGTATCAGTCATTGTTCTCCAGAGAAAGAGAACCAATAGGACATACATATAAAGAGATTCATTTTAGAGTTCATATGAGCTTTTCATGAATGTCTTAGTTCTAATAAATTAAACTAGAACATTAGTTTATTTTAGCCCTAGGTTTCCCAGGATTAAGAAAACACACATACAATTTTCATCTCTCCTCACAGCATAGGCCCTCTTCTTCAAGCAATTATACCTTTCTTAGATTTGCTAGAATAATTCAGATATGAAAGTTAAGGAAAACTGTATTATGTTAACTTTGATTGATGTCTTGATCTGAGATTAGTTTAACATTACCAAGACACAGAGCTACACAACACCAATCTGCCCAACTTCTCAGCACATCTGCTAGGAATAGTAAATATGGAGGCTTTACTGAAAACTCCTAAGAAATTTATTGACAGTTTTCCATAGGATGAATCATGCCAAATACCTGAAGGAACTCACTTTAACAGTCCTAGAATCAGAGAAATAACAATTTTTCAAAGATATTTTGGTTTATTGACTTCCTCAGTTCTTATCCTATATGAATTACTTAGACATAAACACCACCACCAACCACCAACATCAGAATAACTTCCATGTGTGAGGGTGCGTGTGTGTGAGCATGAGTATACCTTTGAGGTCAATCTTTGTCAAAAAGTTTAAGTTATAATGGAATATATTTTTCTGGTTTCTCTTTTTCCAAGTGTTTATTTTCACATTATGGCCTCCAGCACACCTCTTCTGTTCCCTCATCAATACATAATGCAGGCTACCATAGTGTGAGATTAGCATGTCTTTCCCCCTGATATTTCTGTAGGAAAAGCAGTATATGAATCTGTAGGATAAATGTAATACATTTTCCTGGAATATCAACTTTACTACAAGATTTGGAGGAAAAATGAATGTTATCAAATAACTGGTGATAATTTTAAAACACAATTTTTGTCTCTTCCTGGGACACTTGTTACCCTTATCTACTACTTCTACTCCTTCCCTCTCTCTCTATCTCTCTCTCTGACTTTCATTTTTACTGCTTTTATTCTTTCTTGCCACCCACTAAGAAATCTCCTCACACTAAACTTCTAGCTCACTGCTTCATTCATCAGCTATATTTATCCTGCTGTTTACATCAGCTATTGTGTTCTTGATTTCCACTACCATTTTTCAGACCGACTATTTCTGCTTGATTTCTTGTATGACATTTTCTGCTTCTGAGCCTTCTATAGTTCATTAAGCATATTATTTTGCTTATTGAAAATTATTGGTTAATAAGTTCCAATAATTCTGCTTTGTGCTGTATATAATCTGTTGTCTTTCCTTTTTGTAGTTCAACTTCTAAAATATCTAGTTATTTTGGTAATTGGGATTGTGCTCCCATGAGTAGATCAGCTATTACGTCAGGTAATATGTAAGGGCCTAAGTCCTAGTTTGTGTTTGTGGTGAGTTGCAAAAGAAGTGAAGGAATGAGCCTTGGGGAAGATTCCATCATAGGCTGCATTTACTGCTCCCATTTGCTGCCACTTTTACTAAATAGGGATTCATTTTCTAACTACTGGTAAAAAAAATAATAGCAGTGGATAAGGTAGCCACTCTAATTATCCAGCAGCCCTGAGGATCTGGAGGAGAGTGAGATGCAGGAATGAATGTCACAGAGTAGCCAGTCAGCCATGCCATTGGTCATCTACTACTTTGCCCCAACAGATTTCTTTATATTGCTTGATATTGTCTTCCAAGACTAGGTAGCCTGAGTTGTTGCTGAGATGATGGAGTCAGCAATTATTGTCCAACTCAGTATGGCGAAAAAATAAAGCATAATTTCAAAAACACCCCCCATCCATCTTCCACTGCTGTGTCTGGCTGACCTCTACTCTAAGCTACTGAAACCTCCATCCCTTTCCCCTATATGTCAGCTCAAGGTTTCTTGTTATTTTTATGTTAGTTTCCAGATTTGAGCTTCCCTAGAGAAGGAGCTAACAGTTTTTGCTACATCACTTTATTGAGGGACCAAAATTCAAAATAAAATTTACCTCCTGAAGCAAATACTATTATGGAATAGAACGCAAGGTTCACGTGAACATATCAGATATAATTAAAAGTGAAGACACATTTTCTTTTTGCAACAGACTTTTTCAAAATATGCCCCTCAACTCTCAGGTTGTACCTGTTCAATCTACTCTTTCATTATAATTCTTCTCTGAGAAAGTCTCAAAAGTGCTAGCTTCAGTGATTAGTCAAATGATGTTTTGTTAAAATCCTATCTATGAGTACAACAAAGAATGAGACTTACTGGTCTGTAACTCCTGTGTCCCCAGGGAACCCTTTTCACTCATGATTGGGAGTTGCCTTAACAATCACACAGCAGACTGGCCTGTTTATGGAAGCTTGCATATTTATGCCAATGACTCCGCAATTTTACCCCTGAGTACCTTTAAAACTCGCTCTACACATCATTAACAGCAGAGAGCCTAGGGGACCAGAGAGATGCTGGAGCCACAGCACAGGAGAGGAGGAAGAGAAAGTAGATCCCTTACTCCAAGCACTAGGACCTGGGCAAACAAAGTCATGAGCCAGATATGCAATAGGTCTCGAGTATATAGACCTATATAGAGCAGAGTAAGAGGGATTCTAAAGTCCAGAAGGTCAGTGGCTGTGTACACAGGGAGACAGTCTGAAAATGGTTTGAAAGGTAGGGAAGAAATAGGGATACAGCACAAAGCAGAAGGAAATCAAGGCCCTGGCTGGGATATGGAAACACTGATCAGCTGCCTTCATGTTCCTCTCACCTAGGTGTGCGCCAGTCTGTAGTGAACCTGACCATAGGGAGATGCTTGCAAACAGCTGCCATGTTGGGCAGTTAGTATAACGTTAGGTGGAACAAAGGCATTTTCTTGACGAAAATTAAAAATGGATGGATGATAGCAGTTGCAGTTTTTTATCTTCATCTAGTTTTTCAATTACATGTAAAACATACCTAGCATTTACTGGCATTTGATCTAGTATCTCTGATCTGTCTTTGTTAAAAGATAATTTGGGAGTAGAGATTCCTTTAAGGTCTCTCTCAGAAAACTCTCAAGCAAATAATTCATTTATTCTTCCTGCTCTCTCCCTTTCACTCTCAAGCACATCCTTCACACCACCACTGCCAAGTGTTTTTCTTTTTGAGATGGAGTTTTGCTCTTGTTTCCCAGGCTGGAGTGCAGTGGCATGATCTCAGCTCAAGAGCTCATGCAATTCTCCTGCCTCAGCCTCCTGAGTAGCTGGGATTACAGGCACACGTCACCATACCCAGCTATTTTTATGTATTTTTAGTAGAGACAAGGTTTCATCATATTGGCCAGGCTGGTCTCAAACTTCTGAACTCAAGTGATCCACCCGCCTCCGCCTCCCAAAGTGTAGGGATTACAGGCGTGAGCCACCGCACCCGGCCATGCCAAGTGTTTTTCTATTTGGTTCTGTGCCTTTGATTTGCTTAAAGAAATTACTACTGGCATTAGAGTGTCTTACAGGTTTTCCTCAAATTATTTTTTCAGTCTGCCTAATGTTTACTATGCCCTTGAGCTGCCATAATTCTGAACTACCCTGTTCTCATGCCTTACCTGATCTTCTCCTTTCTGAAAAGATAATTTTCCTCTTTGCAGGGATCCTTTTTAAAAACTTGACTTTCAGGCTTCCACTGAGTTATTTGCTTTCAATTTTATTAATTTCATGGTGTCTCTAACATCTTATTTTGTTATTTTTCACTCTCAAATTTCAATGTTAGGATGCATGTCTCTTTGCTTCTTTATTTTCTGTTGACCATATGATCATTGTGTTAAATTTTGGTGCTTCTACAGATAAATAAGATACACATTTTTGTTACCTATAAGAGTCGATAGAGATTTTATTTGTGAATTTTAAGATGGCCTATTCTAGAAAGTAGACAGGCCTCATACACAGACCTTTTTTCAACTTAGTATTTCATCCTGGCTCAGTCTCCATCAGGTGGTTAATTGAAATATTCTGGGTTATTTTTCCATCTAATTTGGTTGCCAAACCTCAGTTAACTTTTTTTTTTTAGTTTCTATCTTAAATATAAGATGTATAGTCTATTGCTTTTACATATTTTTCACTTTGTTGAGGATTGTTTGCTGGTCAAGCCTTACATACACCATTGCCTCCTTCTCTTGTCCTATTAATCATCCTATACTATTGCATGATTTTTTAATTCTGGAAGCTCCACATTTACTCAACAATGATTAATTGAGTAGTCACTATGTGCCAGGCACTATGCCAGGCTCAGGGAGACCTGGCAGTCACCAAGAAAGAGATCATTCCAACCTTATGAAGCTGAGAAACCCTCAAGGTTTTCAATCACTGTCAAACTCAATTTTCATAGTCATCTATAAATCATAAAGTAGTTTTATTACTTTAAAATTATCTTTGCTATTTGATATTGTCAGTTGATTATTTTGTCATTTTTTTTCTTCATATAGGGCACTGTCTGACGGGTCTGCATAGATAAGGGTAGGAAGAGGAGATGAGGCATAGTCAAATTCTTACCAAATCCTGTATGCTACACAATAGCGTTCACTTAGATTTTAGTTTAAGAGGAAAAAAAAGTTGTTCTGTAGCTTCTGGTCCGAAATCTTGATAATAACCCTGGAGGCAGCCTCTGTCATGTCCCACTAAAATATCTACGGAAACCATAAGCAGGAGAAAATATGCGAAACACCAAAAAAGTGAAAACTGATACTTAAAAAAGTTAGCTGTATCTAAGAGAAACCTCTGTTAAAAATCCATGATGTATCTTTATTTCAACAGAGCCACCACACCCATTTAAACTAAATCACAATGACACATTGCTCATTTTTCACTTTCTTACCTCTAACTCAGAATCCCTCATAGTAGCAGCTGATACCATTTTTTAAAATTGTGGTAAACAAACATATATCATAAAATTTATGTGTTTAACCATTTTTAAGTTTACAGGTTAGTAGCATTTCAGTATCATTAAGTTGATATGAAACATATCTCCAGAATTTTCTCATCTTGTAGAACCAAAACCCTATAGCCATTAAACAAAAATTTCCCTTGTTCCTTTCTTCCTATTCCTGCTGATCACTGATATGCTTCCTATTTATATGAATTTGACTACATTATATATTTCATATAAGTGAATTATTTCACTTAGCATAGTATCCTCAAGTTTATTCACGTTGTAGCATGTGACAGGATTCCCTTCCTTTTTAAGATTGCACAATAGTCCATTGTATGTGTATGTGTATGTGTGTGTGTGTGTGTGTGTGTGTGTGTATATATATATATATATATATGTCTCACATTTTTTAATCTATGTATATATCAGTGGAGATTTGAGTTGCCTTAACCTCTTGGTTATTATGAATTGTGCTCCTACAATTATGGGTAGGCAAAGACATTGCTTCCATTTTGGGGGGATGTATACCAAGAAGTAGTATTGCTGGATCACATAAGAGTTCTATTTTTATTTTTTTTAACTACAGTACTATTTCCATAGTAGTTGCACCATTTTACAATCCCACCAACACTGCTGAAGTTTTCCAAGTTTCTCAAATTCTTGCCAACACTTATAATTTTCTGTTCTTTATCTTTGATAGTAACAACCTGATATGGATTGGCTCTGTGTTCCCATCCAAATCTCATCTTGAATTGTAACCCCCATGTGTTGAGGGAGGGACCCAGTGGAAGGTGATTGGATCATGGGGACAGTTTCCCCCTTGCTGTTCTTGTAACAGTAAGTGAGTTCTCAGGAGATCTGATAGTTTTAAAGTGGGGCACTTCCCCCTTTGCTATTTCTGTCTCTCCTGCTACTATGTAAAAGATGCCTTGCTCCCCCTTTGCCTTCCACCATGATTGTAACTTTCCTGGGGCCTCCCCAGCCACGTAGAACTGTGAGTCAATTAAACCTCTTTTGTTTATAAATTACGCAGTATCAGGCAGTTTCTTTATAGTAGTGTGAAAAGGAACTAATAGACTACCCTATTGGATGCGAAGTTATATTTATTATATTTTATTGTGATTTTTGGTTTGTATTTCTCTGGTGATTAGTGATGTTGAGCACCTTTTTATATGCCTCTTGGCCATTTGTATATCATCTTTGGAGAAATGTACACTCAAGTCTTTTGCCCATTTTAAAATTAGGGCATTTTATATTTGTTATTGAGTTGTAGGAGTTATTTATATATTCTAGATATTAACTCCTTATCAGATATATTATTTTTAAATATTTTCTCCTATTACATAGGATGCCTTTTCACTATGTTGCTTGTGGCCTTTGATAGAGAAAAATTTTTAATTTTGATGTAGCCTCATTTGTATATTTCTGCTTTTGTTGCCTGCACTTTTTTGTGTGTCATATCTAAGAAGTCATTGCCAAATTGAATGTCATGAAGTTTTTTTCCTATATTTTCTTTTAGAAATTTTATAGCTTTGGGTCTTATGTTTAAGTATGTAATCCATTTTGAGTTAATTTTTGTGTATGGTGTAAGATCGGGGCCCACCCTCATTCTTTTGCATGTGAATATTCAGTTTTCCCAACACCATTTACTGAAGAGACTGTCTTTTCCCCACTGAATACCCTCGTTGATGATCACTGAACCACATACACTAGGGTTTATTTCTGGACTGTATTCTAATCCATTGGTGAATATGTCTGCATTCATGTCAGTACCACACAGCTTCAATTATTGTAGCTTTGTAATATGTGTCAAATTCAGGAAGTATGAGTCATCTGACTTTATTTTTATAAATTATTTTGGCTATTGACAGCCTCTTGATGTATAAATTTTAGAAAAATTTATTTTTGTTTCTGCAAAAAATACAATTAGGATTTTAAAGGGGATTTTGTTGAATCTGTTGATTGCTTTCAGCAATATTAACATTTTTAAAAATGTTGTCTTCCAGTTCGTAAACATGGGATGTATTTCCATTTACTTGTGTTTTCTTTGATTACAGCAATGTTTTGTAGTTTCAGTATACAAGTTTTTACCTCTTTGGTTAGCTTTACTCGTAGGCATTTTATTCTTTTTGATACTAATGTAAATTATTTTTTCTTAAATTTCCCTTTTTGATAACTCATTTTCTAGTGACAAATGTAACCAATTTTTGCATGTTGATTTTATATCCTAAACTTTGCTAAATTTATTAGTTCTGTTTTTATTTTTGTGTGTGTGTGAGGCAGTACCTTTTTGAATGAGCATAATCATCCTTATTTCACCCTATAAGGCAAATTTCCTACTTTCATTTTGATATGCTGAGAAGCAAAATATATCAAAGTGTAAGCACCCATAATAAGAGCTAACATTTATAGATTACTCTGTGCAAGGCATAGTTATTCTGAGCATTTTGCATATATTATTTAATTTAATCTTCACAACTACCCTATAGGAACTATTATTCTCATTTTACAGGTGAAAAAACTGAGAAACAGAGGTTCAGTCGCTATTATAAGTTTATTATTAAGTGCTATGGTCTGAATGTTTGTATTCCCTCAAATTCATATGTTGAAACCTAATCACCAATATGAAGGTATTAGAAGGTGAAGGCTTTAAGATTAGGTCTGACCTTGTGAATGAGATTAATGCCCTATAAAAGTGGCCCCAGATTTCTGCGTCCCCTGATTCCAAGACGTGGCCCCAAACTAAAGAGGAGCCCACTACCCTAAAAGGAGAGACTCAGGACTGGAAGCATTCACCACTAAAGACTGAAAAGCCCTTAGCTCTTGAATGAATATCAGCGGTAATTAGGCAGTACTTGCCATAGGCCTGGGGCAGTGGAGGCCATGGGGATAGATCCTGCTTAAGGAAATGAAAAGGAAGAGTAGAAAGGACTTTGCCTTGCAGCTTGAGTGCCAGCTCAGCAGCAGTAAATAGAGCATCAAGAAGATTCCTAAAGTTTCTGACTCTAGACTCTGGCTTACAGATGGCATCTCTGGACACACCTAGGACCAGGGGGAACTTGCTACACCAAAGGAAAAAACACGAGTGTGACTAGATTTGCCACCTTCTAAATGTAGAGCTCTTGGGCCTTAAGTGAACACGGTTAGTAGCCATGCAGTGATCATCATAGGACTTGGCTGAAACACAGTGCTGTGTGGGCTTAAAGTCTGACCCAATGCCATGTCAGTAATGGTAGTTACAGGAGTACTTATGTCACCCCTCTCCCAGCTCCAGGAAGCTCAGCACAGAGAGACTTCACTTGTTTGGGGAAAGTAAAGAAAGAGAAAAACAGTCTCATACTGGTAATACAGGGAATTCACCCGGGTCTTACCCAGAAACACCAAGGCAGTACCTGTATGAGTCTGCAAGAGCCACAGTATTACTGGGCTTAGGGTGCCCCCCAATGCAGATATGGCTGCAGTGACCAAAAACTTAGATTGCAACACCCAAGTCTTTTTGAATACTTGGCAAATCTTCCCAAGAAGAATAAATAAGTCCAGATTGTGAAGACTACAATAATTAACTAACTCCAATGGCCAGACACCAATGAACATCCACAAGCATCAAGACCATCTAAGAAAACATGAACTCACCAAATGAACTAAGTAAGGCACCAGGGACAAATCCTGAAGAGACAGAGGTAAGTGTCCTTTCAGATGGAGAATTCAAAATAGCTATTTTGAGGAAGTTAAACAAAATTCAAAATAATACACAGAAGGAATTCAGAATCCTATTAGGTAAATTTAACAAAGAGATTGGAATACTTTTGAAGAATCAAGCAGAAATTCTGCAGTTGAAAAATGCAATGGACTTACCAAAGAATACATCAGGGTCTCTTAATAGCAGATTTGATCAAGCAGAAGAATAAATTAGTGAACTTGAGAACAAGAGTATTTGAAAATACAGAGACAGAGGAGACAAAATAAAAGAGTGACGCATGCCCATAAGATCTAAAAAAGATAGCCTCAAAAAGGCAAATCTAAGAGTCTTGACTGTAAAGAAGAGACAGAGATCAGAGCAGCAAGTTTATTCAAAGGGATGTCAGAGAACTTTCAAAACCTAGAGAAGGATATCAATATTCAAGTACAAGAAGGCTGCAGGCCACCAAATAGATTTAGCCCAAGTGAGACTACTTCAAGACATTTAATAATCAAACTCCCAAAGGTCAAGGAGGAAGAAAGTATCCTAAAAGCAGCAAAAGAAACAAATAACATAAAAAGGAGCTCCAATATGTCTGGCAACAGACATCTCATGGGGAATCTTACAGGCCAGTAGAGAGTGGCATGACATATTTAAAGTGCTGAAGGAGAAAAAGTTTTATCGCAGAATAGAATATTCAGCAAAAATATCTCTCATACATTAGGGAGAAATAAAGACTTTCCCAGATAATCAAAACCTATGGGATTTCATTAATATCAGATGTGTCCAACAAGAAATGCTAAAGAGTTCTTCAATCTGAAAGAAAGGGATATTAATGAGCAATAAAAAAATCTGAAGGAAGAAAACTCGTGGGTTATAGTAAGAAAATGGAAAAATGCAGAATATTATAACACTGTAATTGTGGGATATAAGTTACTCATATCTTGAGTAGAAAGAATAAAAGATATACCTATCAAAAATAATAACTACAACTTTTCAATACATAGACAGTACAATAAGATATAAATAGAAACAACAGAAAGTTAAAAAGTGGGGAGTGAATTTGAAGTGTAGAGTATTAGTTTTCTCTTTGGTTGTTAATTTGTTTATAAAATCAGATTAAAATAATGACTTCTAAAACATTATTTGCAAGCCTCATTGTAACCTCAAATCAGAAAAATCTTCAACAAATACACAAAAATAAAAGAGAAAAATGAAAATATACTACCAGAGAAAATCACTTTCACTGAAAAGAAGACAGGAAGGAAGGAAAGGAGAAATTTGTGAAACGACCAGAAAATAAATAACAAAATGGCAAAAGTAAGTTCTTACTTATCAATAATAACACTCAATATAGTCTAAACTCTAATCAGGAGGCAGAGTGGCTGAATGAATTTTAAAAAGATCCAATGATCTGTTGCCTATGAGAAAAACATTTCACTTGTAATGACACATATAAATTCAAAATAAAGGGATGGAAAAGCGTATTCCTGCAAATGGACACAAAAAAGGTGCAAAACTATCTACACTTAAATCAAACAAAACAAATTTAAAGACAAAAACTATAAAAAGAGACAAAGAAGATTATATAATAATAAAGCAGTAAATTCAGCAAGAAGATATAACAATTTTAAACATATATGCACTCAACACTGGAGCTCCCAGGTACCTAGAGCAAATATTAATAGAGCTAAAGAGAGAGAGACCCCAATGCAATAATAGCTGGAGGCTTCAACACCCTCACTTTTACCTTCGTACAGACCATCTAGACAGAAAATTAGCAAACTAACATTGGACTTAATCTGACCAAATGGACATAATAGATGTTTACAGAACATTTTATCCAAGAGCTGCAGAACAGACTTTCTTTTGCTCAGCCTGTAGATCACTCTCAAAGGTAAACCATATGTTAAGTCACAAAACAAGTCTTAAAACATTCAAAATATTGAAATTATATCAAGTATTTTCTCTGATTACAATGGAATAAAATTAGAAATCAATAAGAGTAATTTGGGCACCTATACAAACACATGGAAATTAAACAATATGCTACAGAATGACCAAAGGGTAAACTAAGCAGTTAAGAAGGAAATTGAAAAATTTCTTGAAAGAAATAATAATGGAGATACAATATACAAAAACTGGTGGATACAATGAAAGTAGTAGTAAGAGAGAAGTTTATAGAGATAAATGCCGACATCAAAAAAGAAGAAAACCTTCAAGTAAATAACCAAATGATGCATCTTAAAGAGCTAGAAAAGCAAGAGAAAATCAAACACAAAATTAGTAGAATAAAATAAATTATAAAGATCAGGGCAGAGATAAATGAAATTGAAATGAAAAAAACTACAAAAAGTCAATGAAACAAAAAGTCAGTTTTGTAAAAAGATTAACAAAATTGACAAATCTTTAGCCAGACTAAGAAAAAAAGAGAGAAAACCCAAATAAATAAAATCTGAGATGAAAAAGGAGAAATAACAACTGATACCACATAAATTCAAAGGATTATTAGTGGCTACTATGAGCAACTACATGCCAATAAATGGGAAAATCTAGAAGAAATGAATAAATTTTTAGGCACACACAACCTACCAATATTGAACCGTGAAGAAATCCAAAACCTGAGCAGATCAGTAATAACTAACAAGATTAACGCTGTAATAAATTGTCTTCAAGCAAAAAAAAAGCCCAGGACACAATGACTTCATTGCTGAATTTTACCAAACATTTAAAGAAGTGATAGCAATTCTATTCAAAATACTCTATAAAATAGAGGAGGGAATACTTCCAGAATCATTCTATGAGACCAGTATTACTTTGAGATCAAAACCAGAAAAAGATACACCCCCGCAAAAAAAAAAAAAAAAAAAAAAAAAAAAAAAAAAAAAATATATATATATATATATATATATATATATATATATATATAAACATTCATGCAAAAATTCTCAATAAAATACTGGGAAGCTGAACTGAAAAACACATTAAAAGATCATTTATCATGGCCAAGTGGTATTTATCCCAGAATGTAAGGATGATTCGACATATGCAAATCAATCAATGTGATATGTCACATCAACAGAATGAAGGACAAAAATCATGATCATTTCAACCGATGCTGAAAAAGCATATAATGAAACTCAACATCTCTTCATAGTAAAAACCCTCAGAAACTGGGTATAGAAAGAACATACCTCAACATAATAAAAGCCGTATATGACAGACCAACAGCTTGTATCATACAGAATGGGAAAAAACTGAAAGCTTTTACACTAAAATCTGGAATAACATAAGAATGCCCACCTTCACCACTTTATTCAATATAGTA
Organism: Homo sapiens; assembly: GCF_000001405.40. Lineage (NCBI taxonomy): Eukaryota > Metazoa > Chordata > Mammalia > Primates > Hominidae > Homo > Homo sapiens. Next base: position 118,416,316 of record NC_000003.12, read on the forward strand.
CTGGAAGTCCTATTTAGAGCAATCAGACAAGAAAAGAAAACTAAAGGACATCCAAATTGAAAGGAAAGAAGTTAAGTTATCCTTGTTTGCAGATGACATAATCTTATATTTATAAAATCCTAAAAACTCATCCAAAAATCTATTAGAACTAGTAAACTTAGTGGAGTTATAAGATATTAAATCAACATGCAAAAGTCAGTAGCATTTCTATATACCAACTGTGAACAATCTGAAAAAGAAATCAAGAAATTAGTGCCATTTACAATAAATACAAATAAAATAAAATATCTAGAAAAAATTAACCAAATAAGTGAGCTTAATCTACAATAAAACATAAAATATTGATGAAAGAAATTGAAGAGACACAAAAAATGGAAAAATATTTTGTGTTCATGGATTAGAAGAATTAATATTGTTAAAATGTTCATACTACACAAAGTAATCTATAGATTTAATGCAATCTCTATCAAAATACCAATGACATTCTTAATAAGAGTAAAAAAAATTAAATTTATATGTAACCATGAAAGACCAAGAATAGCCAGAGCTACTCTGAGCAAAAAGAACAAAACTGGAAGAATCACATTATCTGACTTCAAATTATACTACAGAACTACAGTAACCAAAGCAGCATGATACTGGCATAAAATCAGATACATAGACCAATGGAAAAGAATAGAGAACCCAGGAATAAATACACACACTTTCACCTCATTCATCTTTAACGAAGGTGCAAAGGACATACTTTGGAGAAAAGACAGTTTATTCAATAAATGGTGCTGAGAAAACTGGAAAGTCATATGCAGAAAAATGAAGCAAACCCCCATCTCTCACCATATACAAAAATCTAAACAAAATGGATTAAAGACTTAAATATAGGACATAAAGCAATGAAGCTACTGAAAGGAAACTTTGGGAAAATGCTATAAGACATTGGTCTGGGCCAAAATTTCTTGAGTAATACCCCACAAACACAGGCAACAAAATCAAAAATGGACAAATCGGATTACATCAGGTTAAAATGTTTCTGCATAGTAAAGGAAACAATCAACAAAATGAAGAAACAACCCACAGAATGGAAGAAAATACGTGTCAACTAGTCATCTAACAAGAGATTAATAATCAGAATCCATAAAGAGCTCAAACAACTCAATATGAATAAAATCTAATAATCTGATGTTAAAATGGCCAAAGATCTGAATAGACATTTCTCAAATGATAACATAAAATGGCAAGCAAGCATATGAAAAAGGTGCTCAACATCATTGATAACCAGAGAAAAATGTGAATAAAAACTACAATGAGATAGCATCTCACCCCAGTTAAAATGGCTTTTATCTGAAAGACAGGCAATAATGAATGCTGGTGAGAATGTGGAGAAAAAGGAACATTTGTACACTGTTGGTGGTAATGTAAATTTGTACAGTCTCCATGGAAAACATTTTGGAGGTTCTTCAAATAACTAAAACTAGCTCTATCATATGATCCAAGAATCCCACTGTTAGGTATATATCAAAAAAAAAAGGAAATTAGTATATCAAAGACATATCTGTATTCCCATGTTTATTGTAGCACTATTCACAATAGTCAAGATTTGGAAACATCCTGTGTCCATCAACAGATGAATGGTTAAAGAAAATGTGGTACATATACACAATGGAGTGCTATACAGCTATAAAAAAATTATGAGATCCTGTCATTTGCAACAACATGGATGGAAGTGGTGAACAGTGTGTTAAGTAAAAGGAACCAGGAACAGAAAAGAGAACTTCACATATTCTCACTCATTTGTGGGGGCTAAAAATTAACACAGCTGAATTTGTAGAAATAGATGGTAGAATGATTGCTACCAGAGGCTGGGAAAGGTAGTATGGGCCAGGGGAGTAGGGATTGTTAATGTGGACAAAAATATAGTTAAATAGAATGAATAAAATCTATGATTTAATAGCATAATAGGGGACTATAGTGAACAATAATTTATTATACATTTAAAATAACTAAAAAAGTATAATTGAATTGTCTGTAACACAATAAATAGATAAATGCTTGAGGTGATGGATATCCCACTTACCATGCTGTGATTATTACACATTGTATGCCCATATCAAAATATTCCTTTGTATTTTTCCATTCTTACATTGCTAATAGACATACCAGACTGGATAATTTATAAAGAGAGAGGTTTAACTGACTCACAATTCAGCATGGCTGAGGCCTCAGGAAACTTACAATCTTGGCAGAAGGAGAAGCAAACACATCCTTCTTCACATGGAAGCAGGAAGGAGAAAATGCAAGAAAAGGGGAAAATCCCCTTATAAAACCATCAGATCTCATGAGAACTCACTCACTATCACAAGAACAGCATGAGGGTAACCTTCTCCATGATTAAATTACCTCCCACTGAGTCTCTGTCATGACATGTGGGGATTATGGGAACTACAATTCAAGGTGAGATTTGGGTGGGGAGACAGAGCCAAACCACATTATTCCACCCCTGGCCCCTCCCAAATCTCATGTCCTCACATTTGAAAACACAATCATGCCCTTCCAACAGTTCCCTCAAATCTTTAACTCATTCCAGCATTAATCTAAAGTCCAACTCCAAAGTCTCATCTGAGACAAGGCAAGTCCCTTCAGCCCATGAGCCTGTAAAATCAAAAGCAAGTTAGTTACTTCCTAGATACATTGGGGGTACAGGCATTGGGTTAATACACCTGTTCCAAATTGAAGAAACTGGCCAAAACAAATGGGCTACAGGCCCAATGTAACTCTGAAATCCAATAGGGAAGTCATTAAACCTTAAAGTTCCAAAATGGTCTCCTTTGACCCTATGTCTCACATCCAGGTCACGCTGATGCAAGAGGTAGGCTCCCATGGCCTTGGAAAGCTCTACCACTGTGGCTTTGCAGGGTACAGCCCCTCTCCAGGCTGCCATCATGGATGGCGTTGAGTGACTGTGGCCTTTCCAGGCACATGGTACAAGCTGTTGGTGGATCTACTATTCTGGGGTCTGGAAGATGGTGAACCTCTTCTCATAGCTCCACCAGGAAGTGCCCCAGTGGGTACTCTGTGTAGGGACTCTAACCCCACATTTCCCTTCCATACTGCCCTAGCAGAGGTTCTTCATGAGGGCTCTGCATCTGCAGCAGACTTCTGCCTGGACATCCAGGTGTTTCCATACATCCTCTGAAATCTAGGCAGAGGTTCCAAAACCTCAATTCTCAACTTCTGTGTACCTGCAGGCCCAACACCATGTGTAAGCAACCAAGGCTTGGGGCTTCCACCCTCTGAAGCAATGGACTGAGCTGTACATTAGCCCCCCATGATTAAATTACCTCCCACAGGTTCCCTCTCATGACACATGGGGATTATGGGAACTAAAATTTAAGGTGAGGTTAGGGTAGGAACACAAAGCCAAACCATACCGCCCTTAAATATATACACCTACCAGGTACCTACAGAATTATTTTAAGTGGCCTCAGAGAGATGCCTTGATTTTTCACCATGTGAGAACACATAGAACATGCCATCTAGGAAGAATAGGCTCTCATCAAACACTGAATCTGCTGGTTTCCCAATTTTGGACTTCCCAGCCTCCAGAACTGTGAAAAATAAAATTTTCACTATTTAAAAGTAACCAGTCTAAGGCATTTTTATAGCAGCCTGAATAAACTATGACACTAAGACAGATGCAAAGACAGGATATAAATAAACATTATAGCTGTAGGTACCTTGGCGTAAACTAGAACAATACCCAAATCATATGTCAGGAGTCTCCTGGCCTAAGAGGTTATTTGGCCCTGCATTGAACACAATTTTTGCCCATATTGTCTATGGAAGACAATGTGCTGATGTTATTATTATGTATGATGATGTGTTAGAGTTAAATTTTCAAGGAAGGAGGTCAATGCATACAAAGAAGGGCTTATAAGCTAGAGAAAATACAGCTGAGCTTTATTTTTCAAGTTCATCTGTGTTTCATTTTTTCTTCTCTTTCCAAATAAATTTGAAGTCACCTTCTAGGATCATTCATTCTTTTTACAAGAATCTTGTGTGGTTATTTCTACTGCTAATTTTAACTTTTATTTAATCTAGGGGAGGTTATTTACCCTCTTGAAACTTCACTTTTCATGTATTTATCTTTTAAGTGCTCAAATAATAATTATTTTGAATTATTTTTGAATTATTATTTGAATTATTATTTTTGAATTATTATTTTTATTGAGCACCACAGTCACTATTAGTAGGATTTCTTTAGTTTGTAACTAAAATATCTTTGAGAACATTAGCAGTGGTTTAACCCTCTCTTTATACTCTAACTTTTGAATGCAGTATTAGTTACATTTCAAGTACACAACATATATAAATAAAAGCATTAAACTTAATGACCAAAATATAAATTCGCTAAAGACTATCGCAGATACATAGAGTTAGGAACAGAGTTGATTGCTCAAAAGGTAATACTTCTAATAATACAATTGTTCTTCTCCTTCCACAGAATCTGTGCCTATGGCAATGGGGCCACCACATGAGAGCTGTATGTCCTTGAATAGACAGTGAAGAAAAATTTGTCCAAGTTGGCTTCACAAAGTCATCACATATGTTAGTCCTAAAATGATATTAATTGTTTGATATTGAACAACCAAGAGCTGATTTCTGACAAGCCTTATTTGGAGAGACTAATATTATCTCTTTTTTTTCAAATTCCTAAAATATTCATGTGAAAACAAATTTGGACCATGATGTGACTGGAACAAGACGTGGGTCAAAGAGTTGTATCCTGGGCTTTACACTCTCTTAAGACCCCCATATCACAAATACACAAAATATAAATTTATTGAAGAAAATATGGGTGACAATTGGTAAACACATAGCTTTACCACAGCAAAATCTACTACCTTGAACATCTGCTCTTGTAACTAATAATTTTCTAGCTCTAGGAAAACACCTCTATTTCTCTTGCCTTAAAACGAAAGACAAATACATCTGAGTGCTTTGAAGATTTGTGAGTTGTGTTACTGCTTACTTTTTGAAGAGAAAAACAGAAACTGTTGAAAATGTTGGGGAGGATTTGAATGGTAGCGGAGCATAAGTAAGGGAAAAGACAAATTAATTAACTTGTCAAGTCGTTTTTCTCAGATTGCATGATTACTACAGATTCTTGCTTATCAGTGGTGCTAAGAATCTGTGTTCCTGCTTCTCTTGATATAATTTTGGGTTCTAGAGGTACTCATGAATGAGCTTAAAATTTTAATCATTGCATAGGGAAACTGAAGGAAATTTTTCCATGTTCATGAATGAATGAATACTGGTCTAGAACAAAGCTCAAATAAGTGTTAAGAGGAAAAGAAAGAGAGTGGAGATAGAAAAAAGAAAGCATAGAAATACTGTGTATTAGGCTTCTGGGATACTATGAAAGCAGGTTATTAAAAGAAATGTATAGCTGCAAATGTCTATATTACAAATTAGAAAGATCTCAATGCAATAACCTAAACTTCCACCTTAATAAACTAAAAAAAGCACAAAATAAACCCAAAGAAAACTAGAAGAATGAAATAGTTATGATTAGAGAATAAATTAATGAAATAGAGAATAGAAAAATTATGGTGAAAAATCAGCAAAACAAAAGTTGATTATTTGAAAAGATCAATAAAATAGACAAGCCTATAGCTAGACTATCCAAAAAAAAAAGAAAAATAATAAAATCAGTATTAAAACAGCAGACATCAATAATGACCTGACAGAAACAAAAAGGATTATAAGGGCACAGTATAAATCTCTGCATACCCACAAATTAGACAACTTTGATAAAATGCAAAATTTTGTTAAAAGACAAAAGTTACTGAAACTGACTTAAAAAGAAATGAAAAATATGAATACGCATATAACATATAAGAGATTGATTTAGTAAATAAAATTGCCATTAAGAAAATCCCAGGCAAGATAGCTTCACAGGTGAAAACTACCAGATATTAAAAGAATAATTAATACCAATACTTACACATTCCTTCAAAAAAACAGAAAAAGAGAAAAGAATACTTCTCAACTTAATCTATGTGGCGAGTATTGCCCTCACAACAAAACCATACAAAAAGACTAAAAGAAAAAGAAAACTACCCAACAATATTCATTATAAACATAGATGCAAAAATCTCAACAAAATACTAACAGAATCCAACACTTTAAAATAATTTTATGCTATGATCAAATGGAATTTATTCTAAGAATGAAAAATCTGTTTAATATCCCAAAGTCAGTCAGTGTAATAGACCATATTTATAGATTAAAGGACCAAAAACACATGATCTTAACAGTAGACATTTAAAAAAGAAGCATTTGGGAGAGTTTTGTCACCAAAATGACAGAATAGAAGCAATCCAGCTTCACTCCCCGCCCCAAGCCCAAGAAAGCCAAAAACAAATACCCAGCACCAGGATTATCACTAGCAATATCTCAGAAGTCAAGTCTAAGGATGAGACAATCCCTGGGGCCACAGAGAAGTGATAAAACTCCAAGCAGATGATAAGAGTTTCAGACTTCTATGTTGATGATGCCCCTTGTTTAATATACTAGGCACTACACATGTAAAATCTCCCCCAGACTCACAGTTTCTACACTGGAAAAAGTGAGATTGAGGTAGACAACCAACTTTCCCACCATTTGATGTTCGCTTTCAGGAGAACTGTTTCTGCCTCACTCAAGGAAAACATTGAAAGTGCCTGTGGAGAGAAAAACCCCTTAGGGCCGCCAGAGACAAAGAGAAGAGGTGGACTACAATCCCCAGCCCATAAAATCTCTGCTCTGTATCTCCAAAAGAGCTGTCAGGTCAGAATGGGCTGTTCATCAGCATCATGCTATATAGTAGGCATGTTCCATTGGTCTCCTGGGCACAAACCCCTAGATAGCCCTCCCACACAGCTGGGGTATCCTCTATGGGACGTACCCCATATGGGACAGATAGCATTCCAAAAATTTTCTACAGCCAAGGCAAAGTGGAGCTTAAGGTGCCATCCGATCCCAAAAAAGGATGTAGTAATTTAGCAGAAAGGAAATCCAACAGGTAAATTGCAAAGAACCTCTAAGTAAATATGTCCAAGAAAAACAAAACAAGCCAGATAGAGAAGACTGGAATAAATAACTAATTATTCAATATGAAGATATGCCCACAAGAAACAGCAGCAGGCAGGCAACCATGACCTCCCCAAATGGACAAAGCAAGAAGCCAGTGACCGACCCTAATGAGATAGCTATAGGACATTGGTCTGAGCAAAGATTTTTTGGGGGAGTAAACCTCAAAAGCACAGACAACAAAAGGAAAAATAGACAAATGAGATAACATTAAGCTAAACAACTTCTGAACAGCAAAGAAAACCATCACAAAGTGAAGAGACAACTTACAGAATATGAGAAAATATTTGCAAACTATTCATCTGACAAGGGATTAATAACCAGAATATATAAGGAATTCAAACACATATCAAAAAAATGGTCTGACTTAAAAACAAGCAAAACGATCTGAATAGACATTTTTCAAAAGAAGATATATAAATGGCCAAGAGGTATATGGAAAAAAAAAAAGGACAGCATCACTAATCATCTGGGGAATGCAAATCAAAACCACAATGAGATATCAACTGCAGCTAAAATGGCTATTATCAGAAAGTCAAAAAATAACAAATTCTGGAGAGAATGCAGATTAAGGGTAATGCTTGTACACCATTAGCGTGAATGTAAACCAGTGTAGTCATTATGGAAAGGTATGGAGTTTTCTTTAAAAAATAAAAATAGAACTACCACATGATCCAGCAATCCCACCACTGGGTTTATATTCAAAAGTAAGGAAATCAGTATATATCAAAGAGATATCTGCACTCCCATGTTTACTGCAACACTATTTACAGTATCTAAGACATAGAATCAACCTAAGTGTCCATCAGTGTATGAATGGATAAAAAAAAAATGTAATATGTATACACAATGGAATATTACTCAGCTGAAAAAAAGAATGAAATCTTGTCATTTGCAGCAACAGGGAAGGAACTCGAGGTCATTGTGAGCACAGAAAGACAAATATTACGTGTTCTCACTCATAAGCAGGAGCTAAAACACTGGATCTCAAAGAGGTAGAGAGAAAATGGTGATTACCAGAGGCTGGAAAGGGAAAGGGGGAGGAGAGGATAAAGAGAAGTTGGTTAAATGGTACAAAAATACAGTTAGATAGAAAAAATGAGTTCCAATATTTCATAGTATGAAGGAAAATAGTTAATGATTTATTCTACATTTCAAAATAACTAGAAGAGAAGAATTGTAATGTTTCCGACACAAAGAAAAGATAAATGCTTCAGTTGATGTATATCCCGATTATCCTGATTTGACCATTGCACATTATATACAGATATAAAAATATCATATGTACCACATAAATATGTACAACTGTTATACATCAATTTTAAAAAGAATGAATTTGGGCTCCTACCACACATGATGCACAAATATTAACTAATAATTAATAATAAATATACATGTAAATGCTAAAAACATAAAAGTCTTAGAAAAAGACAGTAGTAAACTTTGAGACCTTGGGTTAGGCAATAGTTTCTTAGATAAAACACTAAAAACACAAATAAAAAAATAGATTGGTTGAAATTCATTACAATTAAAAACTATTTTATCTGTAAAGAATACCATAAGGAAAGTGAAAACACACAGCAGAGAAAGTATTCAGAAATCATGTATCTATTAAGTAGCTGGTATTCAGAAAAAATACATAAGAAAATTTTGCAACTCCATAATAATGAGACAAATGACACAACTGACAAATAGGCCAAGCATCTGAATAAACATTTCCCCAAATAAGACACATAAGTGGTCTATAAACACACGGGAATATGCTTTATCATTTAGGCTAGGCTTTATGGAAATACAAAATAGTATCACAATTACTTACCACTTTATATCTACTAGGATGCCCAAAATTAAAAGCACAGACAATAACAAGTGTTGGTAAGGATGCGAAGAGATAGAAAAACGTTATATTGCTGGTAGGAATGTAAAATTTTATAATTGCTTTGGAAAACAGTTTGTCAGTTCCTCAAAATGTAAACAGAGTTAACATATGACTCAGCAATTCCAATCCTATGTATATATCCGACAGAAATAAAAACATACATCTGCCAAAAATAAAACTTGTGCACAAATCTTCATAATAACATGATTCATAATAACCAAAAAGTGAGATCAGCCCAAATATTAATTAACTGAACAAGGGCAAAACAAAATGAGGCATAGCTATACAATGCAATATTATTTGGAAATAAAAAGAATGAAACACTGATTCATGCTCCAAAGTGAATATACTTTAAAAGCATTATGCTAAGTGAAAGAAGCCAATCACAAATAACACATATCATATGATTGCATTTCAAATATATATAATCATATGGTATGTGGCAATATAAAATGACTGAGAATAGATTAGTGGTTTCCATGAAGTAGAGGGAGATAAGATTGGGAAATGACCGCTAACAGAAAGGGGATTTTCTTTTGGAGTGAACAAATGTTCTAAAACTGGATAGTAGTAATGGTGCTGTAACCTTGTAAACATACTTAAATGACCAAGTTGTACATTTTAAAAGGGTAAGTTTGATAGTATGTAAATAGTAACTTTGTTATGCAAAAAAATGCATTGGTAAATAAAAGTGTCTTGAAGAGGAACCACACAGGGAGAAAAAGAATATTTTTAAAAGGTAAGAAATAAGGCTAAGTTTGCAACTGAATGCCACTGGTTCACATTTTTCATTCATAATTTAAGATGTACAAGAAAGAATTCTGGTGTGAATATTTGATAAGTTGTTAGAAAAATGAAAGAGACGGCAATTTTGGAACGTTCTTTCAAATTTTCCATCTGTTCAACTACATAGACTGTCTCTTTAATTTTTCATGGAAGTTTATTATTAACAGCCTCTTCTTTCTGAAATTAAAATCATGTTGGAAAATCTGGAATTAAATTCTGACATTGATCACAATAAATAGGTCCACCATCAATATGTACTTTGACTTAAAGTTTAGTAAAATCTCTCAATCAGCTTTCTTTCTCACAATAATTAAATGTTTGTGGTGTTTTTGTGATTTTTAAAAAATGTAATGTCTGGTAAGTTAGCTTCAAGGAACTCTGTTATTTTCCTTCCTAACAATGGCCTGTCACTGCCCATAAGTTGGGAACACTAAAAAACAGTGGAGTGCTGTAGTCCCAGCTACTCTGGAGGCTGAGGCAGGAGAATTGCTCAAACCTGGGAGGTGGAGGTTGCAGTGAGCCGAGATCGCGCCATTGCCCTCAAGCCTGGGCGACAGAGCGAGACTCTGTCTCAAAACAAAAGAAACAAAATGTTAGAGTGGAGGAAGTCAAGAAGAATGAAGGTGAAAAAAATAATTATTTTACTGGCTATTTTTTCAAATCATATTCTTCATCATTGTCAACTTAACTTTCTTTAGAAGTTCCAGCACTGATTTGGTGCAACCCAGAACGCTAATGCAATGATAAATTACTTTACACATGTAACACAAAATAGAACAAATATTTTTCCCTCAAATGAATTCACTCCATTTAAGTTGCAGTGTCAGGAAGCAAGAAAACTAAATCCATAATCCTCCAAAGTCACTGGTTTAAATGTTATCCAAACCCTGACAGTTAAGGAGGCCAATAGTAAGTGTCTGACTTTGAGTTTAGTCAGTAATAATGGCCACTGTCTTGCCCACAGGAGTAAGTTCTTCCTGAGACACCAAGACGGAAGGAAGGACATGAAAAAAATGATGGTGAAATCAATAACAGACATGTAACAGCAATCACATTAAATGACACTTTGCTCCATCCTCTTAGGCAAAAATGTTTTGTTGATTTTTTTGTTTGTAGATTTTTCAATTCTTGTATTAACATTAACACACTTTTCAAATCTTAGGGAAAGGTGTTAGGTGGAGGCAAAACAGAAATAGGGAAAAATGTCAGACCACCTCCTAAACTTTTCATACTCTTATAAATGATTTGTTCCTAAATACTTGCCTTTGGGGATTCTGTTTCTTTCTCCATTGGGAAGGTGATACTAGTGCATTGAGTAGACTTTTTTTTGTACTAATGTTGTCTTACATCTGCTGAACGAATCAAGATACTGTGTCAAATCCACATTAGTAATGTGGATATATGCATAGTAATATATGCAAAAACAAGCATGCAAGAATAGAAAGGAAAACACCAAAAAAGAAAGCCACAAGGGTAGCTTTCCCTTATTGCATATTTTAAAATACTGTAAAACTTATACAATCAAAATGATGTGTTACTAGAAAATGAATAAACAAATATGCCAGTAAATAGCATAAAACGGCCCAGAAATAATCCCAAGTGCATATGAAAAGTTAGAATGTCATAAAAGTAGCATCTCAAACCACTGGGACAAAGATAGACTCTAAGTTGTCCTGGAATGGCTAGTTATTTAGAAAAAAACAAAATTGTATCTTTACTTCACACCATGAACTAGAGTAAGTTCCTATTGGATCAGGGACCTAAATGAAATAAACTGACTAAGCTCAAAGTCAGACACTATTTGTCTCTTTAGCTGTTAGGGTTTGGAGAAATTACAGTTGAATTCCTTTTAACTTTTGTGTAGGGAAAGCTTTTTTTTCTTTTTTTCTTTTTTTTTTTTTTTTCTGAGATAGGATTTTGCTCTGTTGCCCAGGCTAGAGTGCAGTGGTACAATCTTGGCTTACTGCAACCTCTGCCTCCCAGGCTCAAACAACCCTCCCACCTCAGCCTTCTGAGTAGCTGGGACTGTGGGTGCACACCATCAGGATCAGATACATTTTTAATTTTTTTTGTAGAGACAAAGATCTCACTATATTGTCCAGGGTGGTCTTGAACTCCTGGGCTAAACTGATTCTCCCACCTCGGCCTCCCAAACTGTTGAGATTACAGGAATGAGCACCAGGGTCCAACTAGAAAAGCCTTTCTAATTAGGATTCAAAATCCAGAGGGAACAAAAGATTGCTATATTTGAATACATAAATTTTTTTAAGTATTTGAATGACAAAATAAATATAAAATAAAATAAATATAATACAAAAGTCAAAAGACATTGACAAACTGGGAGAAAATCTTTGCAAAATATATCACAAATAGATAATATCCCTAATATAGAAAGAACTCTTAAAAACTGAGAGACAAAGAACCAAGTATCTGATGGAAAAATGGGGGAAAGGTAGGAAAACAACTCAAATAAAAAGTGAAAAGTAGTCCTTTAAACATGAGAAAAGGTATTCAAAGTCACTTATAATCAAAGAAACTTTAAGACGTGGTTCATGTCTGTATTCTCAGCACTTTGGGAGACTGAGGAGGCCGGATCCCTTGAGCCCAGGAGTCAGAGACCACACTAAGCAACATGGCAAAGCCCCATCTCTACAAAAAATACTAAAAATTAGCCGGGCATGGTGGCGCAGTTCTGTAGTCCCAGCTACCTGGTAGGCTACTTAGTAGTAGCTACAATGAGCTGTGATCGCGTCACGGCACTCCAGCCCAGACAACAGGAGTGAGACCCTGTCTCAAGAAAAAGAAGAAAAAGGAATGTTAATAAAAATAACACTTAAATATAAATTTGGCACCTATTAGATAACTGAAAATTGTACAAGTATGACAATCCACTCTGTTGGTGAGGTTGTGGAGAAACAAGTACTCTCATACATTTTTACTAAGAATGAAAACTGGTATAAATTTTTTTTTTTTTGAGATGGAGTCTCGCCCTATCACCCCAGCTGGAGTGCAATGGAGTGATCTTGGCTCACTGCCACCTCCACCTCCTGGGTTCAACTGATTCTCCTGCCTCAGCCTCCCGAATAGCTGGGATCACAGGTGCGAGCCACCACGCCCAGCTAATGTTTTGTATCTTTAGTAGAGACGGGGTTTCACCATGTTGGCCAGGCTGGTCTCAAACTCCTGACCTCATGATCCACCCACCTTGGACTCCCAAAGTGCTGGGATCACAGGCGTGAGCCACCGTGCCTGGCATGGTATAACTTTTAAAGGAGGATTTAGCAATATCTAATAAAACTACTTATGCACATACTTTTGACTCCTGAAGTTATCCTGAACATATGCCTCCAACAATATGAAAATGTATATGTAATGTTATTCATTATAGCATTGTTTGCAACTGTACTTGGAAAACAATCTAAATGCCTATATGAGGAGAATGGGTGAATAAACTATGGCACCCACAAAGCGGAATACTACACCGCTATAAAAAATGACGAGGCAAAACTCTATGAACGGATAGGGAGTGATTTCCAAGATATAAAATCAAATGGAAAAGCAAAGTGCAAAAGTGTACCTATAGTATATGCTGCCTTTTATATAACAAATAAAAGGATACAACAAAATATATAGGGATCTGCTCATTTGTGCAAAATGGAACACTAAAAGGATAAACTAGAATCTAATGAGAAAGATCACCTACAGAGAGGAGGTAAAAACAGGTGGAGAGAATAGGGAAATGAGAATGGAGGATCAAGAGTGAGATGCGGAATGGAACTTCTCTGAGTATACCATCTCCTGGATTGGAACATTTGACCCCAACTACCTCACTGCTAACTTTTAGCATTTGATGCTTCTAAAAAGATAAATCTTGCATTTTATTCAAATTTTGTAATTTATCTCACTGAAAGAACTGATTCTTTTAAACTTTTAAGTTCAAACATTCATGTGCACGTTTGTTCTATAGGCAAATTGTGTGTTATGGGGGTTTTGCGTACAGATTATTTCATCACCCAGGTAATAAGTATAGTACCTAATAATGGACTCCAGCTCCATCCATGTTGCTGCCAAAGATAGAACATCATTTTTCTATGGCTGCATAGTATTTCACACTGTATATGTACCACATTTTCTTTCTTTAGTCTATCACTGATGGGCATTTAGATTGATTCCATGTTTTTGCCATTGTGAATACTGCTGTGATGAACATATGTGTGCATGTGTCTTTATGGTAGAATGATTTATATTCATTTGGGTATATTTGTAATTGTACTTGGAAAGCCTCCAATCCCAGCCTGTTTGTCTACTTTTTAATGGGGTGGTTTGTTTTGTGCTTGTTAGTTTGCTTAAGTTCCTTATACATTCTGGATATCAGAGATTTGTTGGATGCATAGTTTGCAAATATTTTCTCCCATTCTGTGGGTCATGTTTTTACTCTGTTGATAGTTTATTTTGCCCAATGATGAGATTGCTGGGTCAAATAGTAATTCTGTTTTAAGTTATTTAACAAATTGCCACACTGCTTTCCCCAATGGTTTAAGTAATTCACATTCTCACCAGCAGTGTGTAAGTGTTCCCTTTTCTCTGCAACCTCACCAGCATCTGTTATTTTTTGACTTTTTGATAATAGCCACTCTAACTGGTGTGAGATGGTATCTCACTGTGGTTTTGATTTGCATTTCTTCAATGATTAGTGATGCTGGACACTTTTTTACACCTTTCTGGCCACATACATGTGTTCTGTTCTTTCAAAAAGTGTTCATGTTGTTTGTCTAATTTTTATTTTATTTTATTTATTTATTTTTGAGATGGAGTCTCCCTTTGCCGCCCAAGCTGGAGTGCAGTGGTGCAATCTTGGCTCACTGCAAGCTCCACCTCCCAGAATCAAGCAATTCTCCTGCCTCAGCCTCCCAAGTAGCTGGGCTTACAGCCACCACACCCGGCTAATTTTTGTATTTTTAGTAGAGACGGGGTTTCACCATGTTGGCCAGGCTGATCTTGAACTCCTGACCTCAAGTAACCTGCCCACCTCAGCCTCCCAAAGTGCTGGGATTACAAAAGTGAGCCACCGTGCCCAGCCTGTTTGTGTACTCTTTAATGGGGTGGTTTGTTTTTTGCTTGTTAGTTTGTTTAAGTTCCTTATACATTCTGGATATCAGAGATTTGTTGGATGCATAATTTGCAAATATTTTCTCCCATTCTGTGGGTCATCCATTTACTCTGTTGATAGTTTATTTTTCTGTGCAGATGCTCTTTAGTTTAATTAGGTCCCATTTGCTAATTTTTTATATTGTTGCAAGTGTTTCTGGTATCTTACTTGTGAAATTCTTGCCAAGGCCTATGTCCAGAATGGTATTTCCCAGGTTATCTTCCAGGATTTTTATAGTTTTAGGTTTTATATTTAAGTTGTTAATCCATCTCAAATTGATTTTTGTATATGGTGTAAGAAAGTCCAGTTTCAGTCCTCTGCATATGGCTAGCCAGTTATCCCAACACAATTTACTGAATAGGGAGTCCTTTCCCTATTTTGCTTTTTGTGTGTGTGTATGACTTTGTCAAAGATAGTGGTATATGTGTGGCATTATTTCTGGGATCTCTATTCTGTTCCATTTGTCTATCTGTTTTTGTACCAGTACCATGCTGCTTTGATAACTGTAACCTTGTAGTACAGTTTGAAGTTAGGTAACATGATGCCTCCAGCTTTGTTCTTTTTGCTTAGGATTGCCTTGGGTATTCAGGCTCTTTTTCAGTTCCAAATGAATTTTAAAATAGTTTTTTTTCTTCCAATTTTGTGAAGAATGTCATTGGTAGTTTGACACAATTAGCATTGAATCTGTAATTGCTTTAAGCAGCAGTCCATTTTAACAATGTTGATTCTTCCTATCTATGATCATTGAAAGTTTTTCCATTCATTTGTATTATCTCTGATTTTTTGAGCCGTGTTTTGTAATTCTCACTGCAGAGGTCTTCTACCTACATGGTTAGCTGTATTCCTAGGTATTATATTATTTTTGTGGCTATTGTGAATGGGAGTGTGGGAAGAACTGATCTTTATTACCTATTATTATCAATGTCCTAAACATGACTGAGAAAGGATCTGTTTATCTAACTGATTCTTATACAGATTTCCATATAGTTATCCTGTTTCACCTCACCTGGCCCTACCCCTGGACCTTCAGAGGTATTTGGTGCCTGGAGTTCCTGAGGCTTCCGTGGTTCTGTCCCACAAATCATCTGGATCACCTTCCTCTTAACTTAGGTTCCAGTTTTCTTTTGTTTGCTATGTGCATCTATTTTCTAGCCTCGAAAATTTATCTTCTCTTCTGTACTTTTTGTTCATGTGAGTTTACACATTTCTTATTCCTCAGGTATGACTCTACTGGAGCCTTGGAAAAAGTGGAGATTAACCTGAATTTTGTATTTCTTTCTGATGGCCTCAGAGGCAGTGAGAGTACTTCAACAAGGTGATCAATGACAGGGGTTCCGAGATAAGGAAATTCCACTGGTTTCTTGAGTTTACAGTGTTCGTGTTGTGAGACAGTAGATCTTAGTGTTTCAGAGCATGGTCTTTCCAGTTTCCAAACTGCATAGCCTCTGTGCCTAAACTTCCTCAGAATTAAAATGGATATAATTATAGTATCTACCTGCTAAGTTTCTTTTGAGAGTTAAATGACTTAATACCTGTAAAAAACACTTAGAATAGTGCCAGCCACAAAATAATTATTCAATATGTGTTAGTTTGTATTACTTTTGCCAAAAAGCTCAAAGAACAGCAGCAATCACATCTATCCTCAACCAGCACAACCAAACAACCCACTGAAATCAAGACAGTGTCAGGAGGTTTACTGGTCATTTGTGCTGTCAAGTATTAAACACCCAAGGCCATCTCACCAGTTTTTAATCTGGTGCCTAATTTTCTCATATCTATGGTGAAACACTTAATTGCTATGAGGAAAAGACATGTAGTCCATTTTCTGATTATTTAATTTGTTTCTAATCAATTCACTATATATTCATTGATTATGCAAAGCACTGAGTTAGGTATATTGGGGGATAGAAAAATTTATAACTGTGATTGCCTTCTAGGAACATAATCATGCTGCTATAAAGACACATGCACACGCATGTTTATTGCAGCACTATTCACAATAGCAAAGACTTGGAACTGACCCAAATGTCTAACAATGATAGACTGGATTAAGAAAATGTGGCACATATACACCATGGAATAATATGCAGCCATAAAAAATGATGAGTTCATGTCCTTTGTAGGGACATGGATGAAATTGGAAATCATCATTCTCAGTAAACTATCACAAGAACAAAAAACCAAACACTGCATATTCTCACTCATAGGTGGGAATTGAACAATGAGAACACATGGACACAGGAAACGGAACATCACACTCTGGGGACTGTTGTGGGGTGGGGGGAGGGGGGAGGGATAGCTTTAGGAGATATACCTAATGCTAAATGACGAGTTAATGGGTGCAGCACACCAGCATGGCACATGTATACATATGTAACTAACCTGCACATTGTGCACATGTACCCTAAAACTTAAAGTATAATAATAAAAAAAAGTGATAATAAATGAAACACTATATTTTATAAAAGATTTGAATAACAGTTAATGGCTAAAAATAGAATAGTTAGAGGTGATATAGGATTATTAAAATCTATTTGGAAAATTGAGTCATAATATTTCCATTGAAACTTTCCTGAATTATTTGAATAAATTATGCATTGCCAGAGATGGATTTGTCATGAAATGAATGGAACTTTAGGACTCAGGGACCCTCACTTGCATGGAGCTCTTACAAGGCCCTAGAAAAAGTTCCAAAAATGTGTTCACATGTTCACACATCTATGGAAAATTTGGAAGAAAGATAGTTTAACCTTAATCAGTAAACACCACTGTCTCTCTACACTCTTACTTCCCTTTCATCACTCTTCCCCTGTGACAGATGGCACTAGAGTGACTGTCGGCATTTTGGCGATCTCACAAAGGAGAATTTCAGAGGAGGATATATTTCATTTGGGTTTAATGGGGTATGTATTATGTGGTTCACAATTGGTTCTGTGTATAGTGAGCTTATTGTTAACCATCCAGGTATAGAAATGGATTTCAGAACACTTGCACCTCTCACTGTTTGAACTCACCCAGTTCCATGAAACAAATGGTATTAGAGTTCCTGTTCTATGAACATGCCCTACATCTCTCAGTATTGGAAGTCAGAATAATAGAGAAGAAATAATGTTTGAAATCTGCGTGATCAGGAGGCAGCCTGTGGAAATTTCTTACAGTCATCAGTGGTATAAAATTATAAGCAGTGCATTTAAATCTCATAGAGCCTAGAGAAAATAAAAATTACTACCTGACTGGAATATACTCAATAACACAGCACGTACAATTATAAACATATAACACATTTTTAAATGAGAATTGGGCACAAAGTTGAACTGCCCCAAATTCTTTTGTTTATAGGGCACATTCCTCTAACAGTGCTACAAAAAGCCAGGACATCAGAATGTGAAGTTGTCTGCAATGTGCATCTCAAGGTATTGTAGTATATCTTAGCATATCTGATGCATGTTGGCCTGAACTCTCTGACACATTCAGACAAACCAGTGAGTGAAATTACTACTAAGGCAACAAAACAGTCAGAAGAACCAAGTGCTCCAGTGACAAAAACTCCCATGCATATTGATCAGTAAGGCAATGTATGCAATTTAAGAGTAATGTGATTACACAATTATGTAGCTCAATACAATATAGCCACATTTTGTAAATGCATTTAATTTCCTTTTGTTTATGCCTTGATTTCAGATTAAATATACATTTTATACTTATTGATCATATCAAAAGTCAAAGACTTACAGAGGTGTGCAAGGCAACTATGCAGTTAATAAAGATACTATGTTTTAAATGTGTTATCTGTGGTATTTGTCAGCATTTTGTGATTTGCAAAATTTTGTGACTTTTTTCTTTTTCTAAATATATGTTACTTTCACATATAATTGTGTATTCATAATTTGCTCTTCTTCAAACCTACAATATAGAGTCATTGTGAGTTTGAGAGTGATTTGTAGGTGTATAGCCCTCAGTACAATGCCTACCTCACAAGTTCTCAATTATTTCTAGCTCTAAGCATTGTGTATAATCAGCAGAGTTACTGTCATTCAGTAGATTCTAAGGGCTATCTCCTTCCTTCTTCACTATCTTGAAAAACATATGTGATTGCCGTGGAACTCAGTGGCTCCATTGAATTACATAACTGGCTTTAACCAAGAAGCTGGACTACATGATATTTTAATGTTTTTCAACTCTAAGATGTCACTAATGTATACCTGGCCAAGAATTGTAAGTTGGTAGAGTCATATATCACTCCAGGTATCAGAATGCTAAGATAAGAAGCATAGCTTCAAAACTTTACAAGAACTTGGAGGGTACAACACATACAAACTTGAATGGAGTGATTCAAAAATATAAAAGAAAAACAACCAATATCCTATTTATTATTTATTCAAAAACTGCCTTTTTTATTGTTTAAAGCTTTTCCCTTTCTTTCCTCTATCCATGTCCATGCTAGTTCTAATATCCCTTTTACATTATTTTGAAATGCTAGTATTATTTTGTGCTTTAGAAATGCTTTTCTATGTTTTTACAATAATAATTTTCTTTTAAAATCCTAAAATGGGCTTCATTTTTCTCTATATTCACCTCTGTAGTTTCTCCCCTTACCGAGCTACTTGAGATATCTTTGTAAATTTCTTTATCTTTCACTCCAAGTCTTTAATAACTGCCTTTTTATTCTTCCCTGTCTTTTGTGTGTAATTCCCCCCATGTCATTTCTACTCCATTTTCTAACATCATCAACTGCACTATTAAATAGAAACACCCTCTAGGAAAAGCTAATTGCTTGGGGAATTTCTATTCCCTAAAGCCTATGGGAAACTTTTGGAATCTCCTATTCATCTCAAGACTGAAATCCTACCTCAATCAGAGATAATTATTAAACTAAGCAAGAGGATTTCAATAGTCTTCTCAAATTGATCCCAAAGATGCCACCTGCAATGCTGCTGCCTCATTCAGTTTTAGCCACTTTCAATTAACTGAACAGCATAAAGCACTCCTGAGGGACTAGAAGCAAACAAAATCCAAATTACAAACAAGCAGAGATATCTGAAGCAATTAAGCCCTTGGTGGCTTAACTCCAGGGTGCCCAGAACTCTTGTTCAAGGCCAAGGACCCAATTGGAGTAGGTATATTAAGTCAGTTCAATCTTGTGAAGCAGTTAATATCTATTAAATTCAGGTCGTATAGACAGTTACGTTTCATAATTGATAAGAGAAAAAAAAAAAAACCTAGGGCCTGAATGATCTGATTTAACACTCTCTACAGCCCAGTTCTACAAGGTAATGTACAAATTTCCACTTCACTTTGCAAACGTGGCCTCATTTACTTCCTAGCTTACTTAATACAATACTGTAAAACTGCATTTTATAACTTCTAAAAACCCCATCAAATAACCTAGGCCAAGCAGTTCTTTAAATGTGTGTGCCCCCAGAAGAACTAAGCAGTTCCCTTACATGTAATTTGGCAAATGTAAAGAAGAGTCAGTGGAGAGAAGGGGATAAAAAGGAGAGCAGCAGTTGGAAAAACTAAACAGAAAATGAAGCAAAGAAGTATATGCTTGTAAGTGGTTGAAGTAATGAAGTGACTGTAAAAAAAATAAAAAGTCCTCAGAGTGAATCCCAATAGCTGTGAATATCTGAAGATAGGGGTCAGGGAAGCATTTCAAAGGTGCTTATGTTTTGACTGTGCACTGGATTACAGAAGTCTTCTGCCAAGATTCAGGGAGGGAGGCAGATGTGAAGTCCCAATTCTTCCTCCCTCTCATTCTTCCCCCTCCCCTCCCCGTGTTATCATTGGTGAAGCAGCAGCAACTGAGGGAGAGTTCTGGGACTGAAGAGGCTTATCTGTAATAGCAGCTTATCTATGGCAAGCAGTAAACCTTGAAGTTAAAACTAAAGGAATTTTAGCCTCCCTGCCATTTCTCTTTTTTTTTTCAACCCTATTCCAGTTTGTTACTAGCCTCTTCCCCCTATTTTATGCACTTCAATCAATCAAGCAAGCAATAAGAGCATATTCGGGCCCCACTGCGCTTCAGGAACCATGTGAGGCCTGAGGGCATGAAGATAGAGAGGTACTCTCTCTGATAACAGACCTTACATCATTATTGTGGACACAAGGCATAAACATTAAAGGACCAAATAAGGCAGGACATCAACATCAGGTACATATTGAGTTCTAGTACAGATGAGTGGGCTCTGAATTCAAAGGAGAAAGAGTTCAAGGTCCCTGGGGTTGGGCCCTGTGGTGGACCAAGAAAATAGATATGGTTTACTAGATGGAGTTAAGGAGATGGCATATGTATACATATGTAACAAACCTGCACACTGTGCACATGTACCCTAAAACTTAAAGTATAATAAAAAAAAAAAAAAAGTACACAGCATGGGCAAAGACACTCAAAAATAAAGGGCTGGCTTTTGGAGGAAGTAAACCATCCTGGTGTGAGGAAAGACCCATGGCAATGATGTAAAGGAAAATTCAACTCAGATTCTGGAAGCCTTTGGATATCTATCTAAAGGATTTGGACCTTATTCTGATAGATGTAGGAAAACAACTAAATCTTTAAGGAAGAATATGCCTGCTTGGTTTTTTGTTCATAGATGTATGCAGGTATGCATGTGAATTCTTTCATTAACGTTTCATTTATTCCCTATCTTACCTCTGCAAAGGATCTGAGGTTTATAAGAACAGAAACCTATAGCATCTGAAAGAACAGATAGGTAAGAATGTCAAAGGTAATTTTGAGGAGTACAAGAAACTAGACTTATGAAATTGATAATTCATATTTTCAAGGCAAAATAATCTCAAATGTAGTGAAGGTATAAGAATAAACATAAATTGGTGGTTAAGAACAGACAGCAAAAAGTAGATCTTAATATACATAATGATGTAATATATAAGGAGTCATAATAAATATGATTTGAATATATTATAATTTATAAATACATGTATAAATGAGTATAATAAGTATATTGAAAGATAATCACATTTATCACAAAGTTCAGTATCTCTAGGTTTATCCCCACTCACTGCAGAAATTCAAACTGTGGAACCCTCAGCAAGTGTCTTACATGCTCATTTTATGGACTAGTCCTTTAAGCTATAACATGGCATATATTACTGGACTTTTGTTTGTTTAAGGCCTCCTGATGGAATGCCTAGTGAAGGCAATGCCACAGCTAACAATGATCCATGCAAAAGCTACCCTGGCTGCAGCCACCCGTCTGTCTGTCTGCAGGCAGCCAGTTAAAGTGATGAGGCTAAGCTGTCTGCATGGAGGGCCCTGGCATGTGTCACTACTACAGGTCTTAGTCTTAGTGCTGCCTACAATCATGGTAGGTGTCCCTAGCACATCTCCTTTGGAACACTGTGCCATCAATAAGTTACAGAGACAATAATGGAAAAAAAAAAACTTGGTTTTCAGTCTTTTATTTATTGCAGCCTCCTCAACCATGAGCCAGCAAAAAGAAAGTGAGTGGGAGATTTGTTACATTCAGAATCTTCCTTGCGTTTTGACAACTGTCCTTGAGCCATTGTGGCCTCTTCTCTCTCCTCCTCCTTCTCTCTCTCTCTCTCTCTCTCTCTGTGTCTCTCTCTCTTTAGAATTTAGTACTCAAAAAGACTTAGAAGTAAGGTCTGCTAAGGTGGGAACCTGGTTTTGAGATGCCCTAGACCTAAGCCTAAACTGAGAACTTGCTATGAAAGGAAAGCTGGACCAAAGTAGAAATATACACACTTCAATTTCTGAAGGTGGAATAGGCACCTTTATGTTTGAGAGCAGTAGTCCCATACCAAATAACTACAGATGATTTCACAGAATGTAAGCTTTCTGGCACATCCTCTTCTGTTTTCTAATGACTATAAGAAAGAAAAATTCTGCTGAATCCAGAGCCTCTAGGCATGGTACCTGGAATCCAAGTCAATGTGGACAATGACAATAGTTTTGCAAACCTAATCTTAGCTTTAAAGAATCATTATTTTAAAATTATGTTAGTCATTAGAATACCCCATGTTACAGAAGTGGAGGAAGTCAACACACCTGCATTCCCATTAGCCTTCACTAGGCATTCCATCAGTAGTAAAAAGCCTATGTTTCTAACTTCCCCAAACTTACTTCCCAAGATACACATAAGGGACCAACCAGTACCATTATCACATAGTAATAATTCTCCCCCAAAGAGCTAAGCAGATGCTATCTGGTCCCATAAGGATAAAGCATGTACATAGCAACAAGGCCATCTCAAGGTATCATATCACACACCAGATCAAAGTACAGCATCTTTTTTTCTATTTCAAACTTAGGGTTGTTCCTCACTGGTGATTTTCATCTACAACAACTTATATCTCAAAAGAAACCAAACCCAAACAAATATTTCATTATGTGTGTGTGTGTGTGTGTGTGTGTGTGTGTGTGTAATATATTCTAAGACCTCTTTTGCTCAGCAGCAATTATGCTCAAACCTAGATAATAACTACTTTTGGAAGCCATTGTCTGATGATTAATCTTGGTTGGTGGAGACACAGAGAATAGGTGATGTGACTCAATAATGATTGTCCCTAGAAAACAAAATTTAAAAATCAAGGCTGTTTATAAAATAGAAAAGTGTTGACACCAGCTCTATATCATTAGTACTTCAATCTCACTCTTCTAAATATGAGAAAAACAGGCAAAAAGAGAGTTACATTGAAGTTCATAATAACACAGAGATATCTTCACATAAGAGTTCCTTCTCAAAGATGATGATAAGCAAAGTGAAGCCAGTTAGTCAATGAACAATAGGTATCCTTGACCATTTCTTGTGATGAAAAGTATGTTCCACCTTGCATTTCCTCCTAAGTTGCTTTTAAATTCTATTAGGGAATGCTCACAGATGGAACAATTAAAGTAGGTATTTTCTTATTTTCTTTGCATTCAGCTATCCCTCTAAGAGTGGGCCCATAAAGAATCTTGCAAATTAGATGTCCTAGAGGTGAAAATGTTAGTACCATAGCCAGTCCTAGCATTTAGACCTCATAAAATTATTGTGTCAGATAATGGGAGCAGGGACTATAAAGTTCAAGGGACTGTCAAGTTGAAATTAGACATGTAAAGAATCTGCATGCCCTTAGCTACAGGAATATAAACATAAAGATATAGAAGGTCAGTCTTTCTCAGTAGCTGAATCAAAGTCAAAAGACATACAATTTTAAGAATAACTCAAAAAACTTCCCTGACATTAACTACCATCACATGGTCAGTGCACTTCTACCTCTACCCAAATTACTTTGCTTTATGGCCAGAACAGCAAATAACTAAAATCTCTGAACATGAGAAACTTTGTGTCTTACAAGCTGGTTCTACGGTTGATATATAATGCTAAGTTTCAGTAAGTTGGTGATCAGATCAGATTCTTTGCATTCAGAACCTATATCTTACCACATTTCAGATTTGTAGTCATTAAGACCGGGAAACAGAAAATACAGACTTTTTGTCTTCTGGCATTTGTGGTAAATTTAATCTATAATGCCTGTATTAGTAACATTATTGGAGAAAAATGGGCCTTTATTATCTGGAGTAATAAGCGATATAGTAATTGGCCTTTTTATCAGGAAAAATAGTTTTCTAGAACAGTGCACAAAAAGAATAGTGCTCAATGAACAAGTCTTCTCCAGTAAATGATCATGTTGCAGGCACCTAAAGAAAGCATGATTGTGGTGGTGGTGGTGGTGATCACAAGTCTTATTGTTGGGATTCTATGTGTAATACCATTTACAGATTATTTTATTTTTGTAACCATAATCTTATTTCAGTTTGTTCTTTCTATTTCTATATTTAGTGTGACTTAGCCAAATCACCTCAGAACTGTTTAGGACCTAAAGAATCATCTCTCAGTTCCAATAGTAACTAAAGGTAAAAATGGTTTTGTCTGAGCTCAATTGGCAGACTATATTAACAGAAAGAAAAAAAAAAATCATTAGAAATCAGTTAACAAGAATGTTGCTATTCCATAGGCGAACTCGGGCAAAAACAGAGAGTCCCACATACGGTTATTGAAGCTCCTGATACAAGGAAGTGACCATTTCTATATAGAATATTAACAGGGCAGAAGCCATGCATGAGAGCATGTAGGTAAGAGAGGAGATTCATAAGGTCCCAAAAAGGAAGGATTCAGTTGGCAGCATCTAACTAAAGGTCTTATTAATGAGGAAGGTCCTAATGAGGAAGAAGTTGAAATTAATGATGGAACCCTGGTTCATATCATTTTGTAATTGGGGCTGGTATTAATCAGTTATGAGAAAATGTAATTTATAACAGCAGGTATTAAAATAATAATGTTTATGTGTCTTGTATACCTTATTTTCATATAAAATATATAAATGTACATAAAAATATAATATTTTGACATAGGAGCAGAGCTTTTATTGAGGGTCTGTTAGTTGCATTCTGAGTCACAGTTCTTTCATAAACCACAGCCACATGCATTGTTAATTGTTTTCTATTTCAGCATCTTGAAGTAAAACAATAACCTAATTATGAGTACTTGTAAAGCAACCTGAATATAAAATCCTACTAGTTTTACATTTTTTTATTATCATTGTCTCACCCACCCCTGTGTCTATACATTTTTAATAACTCTCTTCCAACAAGTCTTACGTAAGCATTTCACTGTTTTTATAAAATCAATAATCCCTTTCTTTTCACATCTGTGCGTTATCAGTTTATGCTTTACTCTATTAGATTAAAACAAAATAAGCAATAAAAAAGTTTAGGGATAAACACAACAGAACATTTACTGGCACACAAATTGACTGGTGGGAGCAAGCATGTCTGAGCATATTAGATAGGACATAGTAGCTATAACATCAAGCCTGACATGGACACTATTCAGCGTGTTTGACCAAATGAATGAAGAATTGCAGTTAATTGGAGCTCATTGAATATGAGCTGGAGTCTACTGTGTTTCACATAAATCTTCCTACACTAACTTCATAGAAAAGAAGTTAATTTACATGCCTTTATTCCAACATTTTGGGAGGCCAAGGTGAGATTGCTTGAGCACAGGTGATTGAGACTAGTCTAGGCAACATGGCAAGAACCAGTCTTTACAAAAAGTACAAAAATTAGCTGGACATGTTGGCATGCACCTATGGTCCCAGCTACTCAGGAAGTTGAGGCAGGAGGATTGTTTGAGCCAGGGAGGTCGAGGGTTCAGTGAGCAGTTTTCAAACCATTGCATTCCAGCCTGGGTGAAAGAGTGAGACCCTGTGCTCCCAACCCTCCAAAAACAAGAATTTATTTTAAATCTTCTTTCATTTTTTAATGAAAATTTACCCCATTCATGCCAACCATTCTGGGGCACACTACCTGCGAAAGGTAGTAAAGTGAACCTACAATACAGGTAACAAAACGGGCTTTCTCTGGCTTAGCCTCACTAACCGAATTTTTGGATGATAAGCCCCATTGAATTCCTCTTGACTCGAGATTCCCAAAAGGTTACCTGGGTTCCTTACCCACAAATACAGGCTTCCTGGTTCCTGCACACAATCCTTCTCCTCTACTGCCTCCAACAATAGCTGGGAGAGTTCCAGATCACTGTGAAGGTCTTACGCTATTTCTCAGTTACTCTATTCTGTCCTCAGCATGAGTTATCTCTTGCTCCTGGCCCTAATCACAACAATGCAGCTTTCATTTCCAACATTACATCTTTGATTTCGAATCCTGCACCAGTGAACATTTGAGGCAGGACCAAGATATTTCAATCCAGAGTCATATTTATCATGATGCTGACAAAGCTTGAGTTTCAAGGCCCCTCATTTGCTCCATCTCTTTCAGGGCCATGTACCTAATTTTGTATTCTTAAAGAATCTTCTCTCAAATATGTAAGTTTAAGACCCTGCTTCAACCTATTTCTTTCATTCTAATTCATTTACGAGGCACAAAACTGTCCGTTCTTAAGATTCTAGCATCCTACAGAGATTAGAACAATATATTTTTTTTAAATTTTCTTATCACCTGACGGAAGTCTCAGAGGAAATGGTGAAACACAACAATCTGAGCTCACTTCACTTCTCTTCAAAATTCTCCTTCTCTCCTCACTTGTGAGTACTCACTGGCCTCCTAATAAGCGAGTCAGCCCCTGCTTCCTTACCTCACCCCAGAGTAAGCTCCTTCTCTTGAAGCTGCTTGATCTCTAAAGGACACAGAACCTTTTAGTAAACTTTCTTCCCTCCATCATCCATGAACACCAGAGAGCACAACATGTTTCACAGATTCATCTCTTCTCACTTTTCTCAATCAACCTTTCTGTGCTCCTTATAAATTCTTGAGTTAAATTGGCTGTGGGAACTGGAAGCTGTGCCAAGGGTCACTGAGCCTGGCTTCTGGTATGAGAAAGTTTCACTTGTATTCAAAATGGATGGTGAGACAAAATAAAATTATAAGAATTCACAACAGGCTCCTAGGAGCCTGTCTAGAGTTTGGTTAAGAAGAGAAACCTCATGAGTAGTTAGTCTCCTCCCAAGAACTGCCTTAACTGGGTATACTCCTATTTAGGTGAGCTACAGAATGCATTTATAAACAGGCTATCTATGAAATTCACATATAAATCAATTATTATCCTGTTCTGAAGCTTCACTAATTTAGCAATAACCAAATCAGGAAAGTCAAAGTCATGCTAATAAATGATCAAAAATTTCTTTGGTTAATGCAAGCCCTTACAAAGTGTAAAAGGAAGAGAGGAAATAATTTATCTGATTCAGACTCAGCAACATTAAGATGAGAGTTCTGAATGCAGAGGGCTGGTCAGAACAAAGGTCCACTTTAGGTAAATCAAGAGAACCCATGACCTGGAGAGCAGCAACACACTGCTGGTAAGAAGAAAGGCATTTCCCATGGAAGAAGCAGCTACTAGGCCTGGCTAACCTTATTAGATTTTGAATTTCATGAACCCTAAAGTTGCTCCCAAATCGGTTAAATGCATACATAAATAATAAGAAACTGGAAATGTTGGGCCTTGGTAGGATAATCAATAGTTCTCAGATCTGGAGGCAATGTTTTTAGCAACCCAGACACAATAGTTATTTTTAAATTGCTTGGGAACTTTGCCAGAGGTCAGAGATAAACTAATAATGTCAAGTAGCACAGTACTGAGATCCATAAACCTCAGCTATGGTGCACTATGGAAATGTCTCCAAGAGGATGGTGGCAGGCTTCACAGCGGACTATTGGCCTGGTGCCACACAATGGAAAGGAGAGGGGTAGCTGGATCACTAGTGCCCCTATAATGAAGTGGTTCTTCATGGGAGGCAATTCTGCCCCTAGAAGACCATTGGCAATATCTGAGACATTTTTGGTTGTAACAACTGGGAGAAGGGTGCTAATAATATCTAATAGGTAGTGGCCAGTGATACTGAAACAGGAGAGTTCCCCGTCCCCCTCACTGGACATAGGACAAGGGTGTGGTTTGCTTCTTTGGTACCCCAAAGGGGTTTGCTCAAACCCTTAGGGGGAGCATGCAGATGGGCAGGTGCAGAGGTTGTGGGGCGTGTTTTTGGGCTCCAACCCCACAGCAGCTCTAGGGGTGAGTGTTTACAACTCCTGAAGCCCAAGTGGGCATGTGTTACAGCCTGCCCTTTCAGCTCTGCTGTCTGCAGGCAGCTTGTGTTAATCAGCTCAATTAGACCTTCTGCCTTATCGCAAGGACAGAGGGCTTTATGTATCCTGGGTTCTTGCCCTAGTGTACCAGAAAAATCAGATCTCACATAGGCTTAGCGGATGAGTGCAAGGTTTTACTGAGTGGTGGAGGTAGCTCTAAATGAGATGAATGGGGAGCCAGAAGGGGGATGGAGTGGGAAAGTGGTGTTCCCCTGGAGTCGGACTGCCCAGAGACCAGACTCTCCTCCTACCACCCCCAGCTGAATTCCCCTCAGCGTCCATGTCGTTCTGCCGTTGCTAGTCTGCCAGTGTCTGCTGGTGTCTGTCAGTGTGTTCTTGGGCTTCTCTTGACGTCCAGCCACTATGTCCATGCCCACTAGGGTCTCAGGTTTTTATGGGATGGGGGCGTGGCAGGCCAAAAGGCAATTTTTGGGGTGTGAAAACAGAAATGCCTGTCCTCATTTAGGTCCATGGGCACAGGCCTGAGGGTGGAGCCTTTGCCAGGGACCCCAAACTTCTCTACCTAGCACTTCCCTGCCCTACTTTCATATCAGTACTACTAAACATCCTACAAGGAAGCTTCCTCCAACAAAGAGGTAATTCACCCAAAATGTCGATAGTGCCAAAATTGAGACATCCTGTCTATTAGTCTGATAAAGACATACCGGAGACTGGGAAGAAAAAGAGGTTTAATTGGACTTACAGTTCCACATGGCTGGAGAGGCCTCAGAATCATGGCAGGAGGTGAAAGGCACTTCTTACATGGCAGTGGCAAGACAAAATGAGAAAGATGCAAAAGCAGAAACTCCTGATAAAACCATCAGACTTCGTGAGACTTATTCACTATCACAAGTACAGTATGGGAGAAACTACCCCTATGATTCAAATTATCTCCCACTGAGTTTCTCCCACAACATGTGGGAGTTATGAGAGTACAAGTAAAGATGAGATTTGGGTGGGGACACAGTCAAACCATATCATCCTGCTATAATGCTATTAAGGATGGAAAAGCAACCCAGTAGCCTATCTGCCTAATCTCAGGTAGCAACAACAACAAATAATCTGCCCTAATCAAAGCCATCATTTGAGAGACAAAAGATGGACACTTTTAAATGTATTATGATTATAAAGGAAGCAAATGGGTAATAAGTATTTTATATTTCTAGATTTCTATTGGTTGATATAATTTTTATTCTAGAGCCTTCCCCCTTTATGCTCTGTGATGTTTTCTCCATTTCCTTTCCTCAAGCCCTCCCTCTCCTCTTCTACCACTAACTTATAAGACCACATTAGACATACCTGAGATATTATTTAAAATGCTGTGCAGTATGGAAACCTCAATTGATATCTGAGGATATTCTGAGGTCATTGTGGCCATTCTAATCATAGACAGCAGATAGCCTGTCTGATGTGGGAATTATTTATCAAGTTTTAAGAAGATACAATCACCTCAAACATAGTTTAAGATATTTAAGTAAAGAACCTAAAATGAAGGCAGTTTTATAAGATTCGTCTTTAAGTTTACATTTCCTTTTTTTATTTATTCTTTACTTTTTTATTTTTCTCCTTGAAATCATAAAATGTATCTTGTATACAAATTATAGGTATATTTGACCCATGTTTTCCAAGCCATGTTATTCTGCAGATTACATCAAGGTGAATAATGAATAAGGCCATGATAAATGCAAACATTCTATTTTCAGTTCGCTGTTGAGAATGTCGACTCCTCTCAAAATCTCTCCCAATAATTGCATCTTCTAGAGCATTGCACACGAGTGCATGTTCACCCTTGTCAACCTCCCAGTATTATCCTGAGTCAAGGGCCTGCCCAGCAAAGCAGCTCTCCTATGACAGAACTGTCACACTGCAGCAGGCCATTCCTGCCCCTGGCACTACAGTCACTGTGGTGACTTGGGCCTGCGTGTGGCAAGACTGAGTGGGATCTCCTGCAAGAATGTCTTTTTTCCACCTCAGGGGTATTTTCTATTGTACTATACTAGTTTTTCCCAAATAGCATATATTCATTTATTACCTGTGCCCTCTTCTACAACAACTGACTCAAAGTCTCTGGAGAAATGGTCAAAACTCTGCATTTTTTTCATGTTTCCCAGCTGATCCTTATGTGCATTAAAGTTTAAGAACATGTGCTCCAACACCTCACAGGCTTTTTAGTAAAGTCATTTCCCCATCTATATTTGCAGGACTCTCTCCTTCAGACTCAGTTCTAATAATTATATAGTTGATGATGATTATTACAATAACAACATAACTCTGAGGCACAGGCATTAGTTATGTTGCTTGAAGTAACATATCTAGTAACTGATGACATAAGGATTAGAACCACTTTTGAGCTAAAGATTGGGCAGGCAGGTCAACTGAGTAAAAGGATACTAAGCTTTACTCACAACTCTCCTTTATAATGACAGGGCATTGCAACTGGTCCAGACTCCTGTGTCTCCATTAAGTCATGCCTAATTATGAGACTTCACTCCTGACTCTAAAGAGCTCCCCTTGGTCTTAAACATGTGCCTCACCTTTTCTGTATCCCAGGGTTGCTCATGGCTTAGTTTCAAGCTGGGATACTCCTATCTTGCTCTATCAGTCTGCACACCAGCCCATATCCACTCTTGTCACACAATACCCCTGACATACACACATACAAATACAGAATAGATTATCTCACCCATTCAGCCTGCAATGCAAGATATTCTCCTCTTGAGACAGGTCATGCCTCTTACTATTGCTTTTAAGTGCTTCATTACATCAGTAAAGGAGTGCAAGGAAGTAATTAAGAGGATGGTCTCTGAAGTCAGGTTCAAATCCCATTTATCCCTCTATTTGGCTGTGGCCTTGAGATTTAAAATTGTTTCTCAGTTGCCTTTACTTTAAAATTGGAATAACAGTACATAACTCATTGAATTGTGGTGAAGATTGTTTATTTTTTATGTAATGCAAATAGAACTCTCTATCTTATTGAAAGCATCATGTAAGTGCCAGCTATTATAATTTAAATTGTAAGCTTTAAATTTCACCAGAAAAAAAATATTTTATATTTTGTACTGTAACCCACAGAATGAAATATGGTACACAAATACATAGGCATTGTTTTAGTCCATTCTCATGCTGCTAATAAAGACATTCCCGAGGCTGGGTAACTTGTAAAGGAAAGAGGTTTAATTGATTCAGTTCAGCATAGCTGGGGAAGCCTCAGGAAACTTACAATCATGGTGGAAGGGGAAGCAACATGACCTTCTTCACATGGCTGCAGCAAGGAAAAGTGTCAAGCAAAAGAGGGAAAAGCCCCCCCAAAAAATCATCAGATTTAATGAGAATTCACTCACCATCACGAGAACAGCATGAGTGAGGGTAACCTCCGCAATGACTAAATTACCTCCCACCAGGTCCCTCCAGCGACACATGGGGATTATGGGAACAACAATCCAAGATGAGATTTGGGTGGGAACACAGCCAAGCCATATCAGACATACTCATATCACTGAAGTAAAAGACTCACAAATGTTACCATTATTATATGCAATGTATTCTAGTATTCTTTTATCCACTGTATTTTATTTTTTTAAGAACGATAAGTCAAAATTCATGAAATTGATTTTATAGTCCACGATTGGGGTTAACACACAGTTTGAAAAACACTATACTAGACTGAAACTTTATGAAGAAAGTTGCCATACCTGTTTTGTTCAACACTGTATCTGTGACTTCCTGGAACAAGGCTTGGCACATAATAGGTGCTTATTTATATGTGTTGGATAATTGAGTCATCTTTTATTATCAGTTAGCATAGAAATAAGAATTTACTTTACCTTCTCTGCTGTTGATGTCTGAAACTGTGAAAGAATCTTTTCTACTCATTATTTGCTGAAATTCTTAGGAAAAGTCCTAGAAAATCATTAAAAACGTAAGGCATTTTAGAGGCTTATTCCAATAGAATCAGGTCCCAGTGTTAACATGGCAGACAAAATCTTGTCTGGATCATTAATTTTTTTATTTTCTTGAAGAGATGGCAATTCTTGTCATAATTTTGTTGTTATCCTTTGTGTGTGTGTGTGTGTGTGTGTGTGTGTGTGTGTATGTGTGCATGTGTGTGTGTGTTTCATTTCCACCTTTGACTTTAAGTTCAGGGGTACATGTTCAGGATGTGCAGGTTTGTTACATAAGTAAACGTGTGCCATGGTGGTTTGCTGCACAGCTCATACCATTACCAGCATCCACTAGTTCTTCTTTCTGCTCCTCTCCCTCCTCCCAACCCCTGCCCTCTGACAGGCCCAAGTGTGTGTTCCCCCACCATGTGTCCATGTTTTCTCATCATTTAGCTTCCACTTATAAGTGAGAACATGTGGTATTTGGCTTTCTGTTCCTGTGTTAGTTTGCTGAGCATAATGGCCTCCAACTCCATCCATGCCCCTGGAATGGATATGATCTCATTGCTGTATATGGCTACATAGTATTCCATGGTGTGTATGTACCACATTCTCTTTATCAAGTCTATAATTGATGGTCATTTAGGTTGATTCCATGTCTTTGCTATTGTGAAGAGTGCTGCAATGAACATACGCATGCATGTATTTTAATAAAAGAATAGTTATATTTCATTGGGTATATACCCAGTAGTGGGATTGCTGGGTTGAATAGTTTTTCTCTCTCTAGATATCTGAGGAATTGCCACACTGTCTTCCACAATGGTTGAACTAATTTACACTCCCACCAACAGTGTATAAATGTTGCTTTTTCTCCACAACTTCATCAGCTTCTGTTAATTTTTGATGTTTTAATAATAGCCATTCTAACTGGTGTGAGATGGTATCTCAGTGTGGTTTTGATTTGCATTTCTCTAATGATCAGTGATATTGAGCTTTTCTCCACATTTTTATTGGCCCCATGGATGTCTTCTTTTGAGAAGCGTCTGTTCATGTCCTTTGCCCACTTTTTAATAGGGTTATTTGTATTTTTATTATAAATTTAAGTTTCTTATAGATGCTATATATTAGACCTTTGTCAGATGGATAGATAGCAAAAATTTTCTTCCATTCTGTAGGTTGTCTGTTTCGTCTGTTGCTGGTTTCTTTTGCTGTGCAAGCTCTGTAGTTTAATTAGATCTCATTTGTCAATTTTGGCTTTTGTTGCAATTGATTTTGGTGTCTTCTACGTGAAATCTTTGCCCAACCCTATGCCCTGAATGATATTGCCTAGGTTTTCTTCTAGAGTTTTTAAGGTTTTGGTTTTACATTTAAGTCTTTAATCCATCTTGACTTGATTTTTGTATATGGTGTAAGGAAGGGGTTCAGTTTCAATTTTCTGCATATGGCTAGCCAGTTCTCCCAACACCATTTATTAAATAGGGAATCCTCTCCCCATTGCTTGTTTTGTTGAGGTTTATTGAAGATCAAGTGGTTGTAGGCATGTGGTCTCATTTCTGGGTGCTCTACTCTGTTCCATTGGTCTATGTGTCTGTTCTTGTACCAGTACCATGCTGTTTTGGTTACTGTAGCTCTGTAAAGTTGGATAGTATGATGCCTCCTGCTCTGTTTTTCTTGCTTAGAATTGTTTTGGCTCTTTAGGTTCTTTTTGGCTCCATATAAATTTTAAAATATGTTTTTCTAATTCTGTAAAGAATGTCAATGGTAGCTTAATGGAAATAGCATTTAATCTATAAATTACTTTGGGCAATATGGCCATTTTTACACTATTGATTCTTCCTATCCATGAGCATGGAATGTTTTTTCATTTGTTTGTGTCATCTCTGATTTTTGAGCAGTGGTTGGTGGTTCTCCTTGAAGAGGTCCTTCACTTCCCTTGTTAGCTGTATTCCTAGGTATTCTATTCTTTTTGTGGCAATTGTGAATGGGAGTTTGTGATTTGGCTCTCGGCTTGCATGTTTTTGATGTATAAAAATGCTAACAATTTTTGTGCATTCATTTTGTATCCTGAAACTTTGCTGAAGTTGCTTATCACCTTAAGAAGCTTTGGGGCTGAGACAATGGGGTTTTCTAGATATAGGATCATGTCATCTGTAAACAAAGATAGTCTGAATTCCTCTCTTCCTATTTGAATACCTTTATTTCTTTCTCTTGTCTGACTGTCCTGGCCAGAACTTCCAATACTATGTTGAATAGGAGTGGTGAGAGGGCATCTTTTCTTGTGCCAGTTTTCAAGGGGAATGCTTCTAGCTATTTCCATTCAGTATGATATTCATTGTGGGTTTGTCATATATGACTTTTATTATTTTGAGGTATGTTCCTTCAATACCTAGTTTATTGAGAGTTTCTAACCTGAAAGAATGTTGAATTTTATTGAAGGCCCTTTTTGCATGTATTTAGGTAATCATGTGGTTTTTGTCTTTAGTTCTGTTTATATGATGAATCATATTATTATTTCTTCCTGGTTCAGTCATGGGAAGATGTATTTGTCCAGGAATTTATCTATTTCTTCTATATTTTCTAGTTTATATGCATAGAGGTGTTTATAATATTCTCTGATGGTTGTTTGTAGTTCTGTGGGGTGAGTGGTAATATTCCCTTTATGATTTCTGATTGTGTTTATTTGAGTCTTCTCTATTCTTTATTAGGCTAGCTAGAGGTCTATCTATTGTATTACTTATTTCCAAAAATCACCTCCTGGATTCATTGATCTCTTGAAGGGTTTTTTATGTCTATCTCTTTCAGTTCAGCTCTGATCTTGGTTATCTCTTGTCTTCTGCTAGTTTTGAAGTTTGTTTGCTCTTGTTTCTGTAGTTGTTTTAGTTGTCTTATTGGATTATTAACTTGAGATATTTCTAGATTTTTGATGTGGACATTTAGTGCTATAAATTTCCCTCTTAACACTGCTTTAGCTGCATCATAGAGACTGTGGTATGTTGTATCTTTGTTCTCATCAGTTTTAAAGAACTAGTTGATTTCTGCCTTAATTTCATTATTTACCCAAAAGTCATTCAGAATCAGGTTTTTCAATTTCCATGTAGTTATATGGTTTTGAGTGCATTTCTTAATCTTGAGCTCTAATTTGATTGTGCGGTGGTCTAAGAGACTGTTTGTTATAGTTTCAGGTATTTTGCATTTGCTGAGGAGTGTTTTACTTCTGACTATGTGATCAATTTTTGAGTAAGTGTCATATGGGGATGAGAAGAATGTATATTCTGTTGTTTTGGAATGGAGAGTTCTGTAGATATCTCTCAGGTCCTCTTGATCCAAAGTTGAGTTCAAATCCTGAATGTCTCTGTTTATTTTCTGTCTTAATGATTGGTCTAGTATTTTCAGTGAAGTGTTAAAAGTCTTTCACTGTAATTGTATGGGAGTCTAGGTCTCTTTGAAGGTCTCTAAGAACTTGCTTTATGAATCTGGGTGTTCCTGTATTGAGTGCATATATATTTAGCACAGTTAGCTCCTCTTGTTGAATTGAACCCTTTACCATTATGCAATACCCTTCTTTGTCTTTTTTTATCTTTATCTTTGTTGGTTTAAAGTAGGTTTTGTCAGAAACTAGGATTGCAAACCCTTTCTTTTTTCTGTTTTTCCATTTGCTTGGTAAATTTTCATCCATTCCTTTATTTTGAGCCTATATATGTCTTTGCATGTGAGATGGATCTCTTGAAGACAGCATACCAATGGGTCTCGGTTCTTTATCCAGCTTGCCATTTTGTGTATTTTAATTGGAGCATTTTGCTCATTTACATTTAAGGTGAGTATTGTTACAGGTGGATTGGATCCTGTCATCATGATGCTAACTGGTTATTTTGCAGACTTTTTTATGTGGTTGCTTCATAGTGTCACCAGTATGAGTAATTCAGTGTGTTTTTGTAGAGGCTAGTAATAGTTTTTCCTTTCCACATTTAGTGCTTCCTTCAGGAGCACTTGTAAGGCATGTCTGGTGGTAACAAATTCCCTCAGCATTTACTTGTCTAAAAGGTTCTTATTTTTCCTTTGCTTATGAAGCTTAGTTTGACTGCATATGAAATTCTGGGTTGGAATTTCTTAGCTTTAAGAAATTGAATATTGGCCCCCAAACTTTTCTGGCTTTTAAAGTTTCCATTGAGAGGTCTGAAGTTAGTCTGATGGGCTTCCCTTTTTAGGTGGCTTGGCCTGTCTCTCTGGCTATCCTTAACATTCTTTCTTTCATTTTGACCTTGGAGAATCTGACGATTATGTGTCTTGGAGATGATCTTCTCATGGAGTATCTTGCTGGGTGATATGGTTTGGCTCTGTGTCCCCACCCAGATCTCATCTTGAATTGTAATCTCCACATGTCAAGGGAGGGACCTGATGACTGGATCAAGGGTGCAGTTTCCACCATGCTGTTCTTGTGATATTGAGTTAGTTCTCACATCATCTGATAGTTTTAAAGTGTGGCTCTTCCTCCCTCACTCTCTTTCTCTCTCTCTCCTGCCACCTTGTGAAGAAGGTGCTTCCTTCTCCTTCACCTTCTGCCATAATTTTAAGTTTCCTCAGGCCTCCCCACCCATGTGGAACTGTCAGTCAATTAAACCTCTTTTCTTTATAAATTACCCGGTCTCAGGTAGTTCTCTATAACAGCGTGAAAACAAACTAATACACTGGGGTTCTCCACATTTCCTGAATTTGAAAGTTGGCCTATCTAACTAGGTTTGGGAAGTTCTCGTAGATGATATCCTGAAATATGTTTTCCAAATTGGTTCCATTCTCCTCGTCTCTTTCAGGTACCCCACTCAGTCATAGATTCAGTCTCTTTGCATAGTCCTATATTTCTCAGAGGTTTTGTTCATTCATTTTTATTATTTTTTCTCTATTCTTGTCTGTCTGTCTTATTTCAGAAAGACAGACTTCAAGCTCTGAGATACTTTCCTCTGTTTGGTCTATTCTGCTATTAATACTTGTGACTGTATTGTGAAGTTCTTGTAGTGTGCTTTTCAGCATATCAGGTTGATTATGTTCCTCTCTATACTTGCTGCTAATATTTTGTCTGTCACCTACTGCATTGTTTTATCATGATTGTTAGCTTCCTTGCATTGGGTTACAACATGCTCCTTTAGCTCAGCAAAGTTTGTTTTTATCTACATTCTGAAGCCTACCCCTGTTATTTCAGCCATCTGAGCCACAGCACAGTTCTAAACCCTTGCGGGAGAGGTGTTGCAGTCATTTGGAGGAAAAGGTGCACTCTGGCTTTTTGAGTTTTCAGTGTTTTTGCACTGATTCTTTCTCATCTTTGTGGGCTTATCTACCTTCTATCTTTGAGGTTGTTAAACTCTGGGTAGGGTTTTGGTGGAGTTTTTTCTTACTGTTGTTGTTTGCTTGCTTTTCTTTTAACAGTCTAGCCACTCATCTGTGGGGCTACTGTGGTTTGCTGGGGGTCCACTCCAGACCCTTGTTGCCTCGGTTTCTTTAGTAATTGGAGGTATCACCAGCAAAGGCTGCAAAACAACAAAGATGGCAGCCTGCCCCTTCCTCTGGGAGCTCCAAGTTAGTCCCAGGGGGGTCCTAACGTGTTGCTAGCCCACATGCACCTAAAGGTGGTGGATAAAGACCCCAGTTGGGAGGTCTCAGCAGTCAGGAAGAATGAGATCAGCGTTCCTCTTAAAGAAGTAGCCTGGCTGCATGTCGGTAGAGCAGCTAGCTGTGCTATGTTGGGGGATCCTTTCAGCTCCCAATCAGTTTGGGCTCTCCAAGGCTCACAGGCTGGACCAGCTGAGATGCCCAAACAGCAAAGGTGGCAGCCCTTCCTGCCTCCTGGGTACTATGTTCCAGGGAGATATTAGAACTCTGTTGGCTATAGAACACAGGCAGGGTGGTCAGAGGTCCCAGCTGGGAGGACTCACCCAGTGAGGAGAAATGGATCAGGGCCCCATTTTAAAAAGCAATCTAGCCATACCTCAACAAAATAGCTGAGCCATACTGGAGAACTGCTTGTGTGCTAGTTGGTTGGACTCTCCAAAACCCACCTGCTGGAATGGTCAAGTTGCCCAAATAGCAAAGGTGTCAACCAACCCCTTCCCCTGGGCACTTCATCCCAGGGAGAAATCAGAACTCTGTCCACAGAATACAGATGAGGGTGGCTGGAGGCCCCAGCTTGGAGGTCCTGCCCAGTGAGGAGAAATGTATCTGGGTCCCATTTAAAGAAGGACGCTGTCTACATTTTGGTAAAGCACCTGTGCTGAGCTGAGGGAACCCTTCCTTGTCTAGACTGTTTGGACTCTCCAAAGCCCACAGGCTCAAACAGCTGAGTTGTCCAACAGCAAAGGTAGTGGCCCACCCCTTCCCCCCAGGGGCTCTGTCCCATCTCAGGCAGACTGTACCTTGCTGGATGAAATTCCAAGCCAGTCAGTCTTATCTTCTTGGGTGCCATGGAAGTGGGGCCTGTAAACCTATTCTGCTTGGCCCCCTGGATTCAGCCCCCTTCCTAGGGTATGTACAGATCTCTTGCCTTACCTGAGTTGCAGTCACCTTTGCCAGGAATCCTGAGGCTAGAGTATGTAAACTCCTAGGTCTCTCTGCATGCCTGAGCAGCTGCTCTGCCAAGACTCCACACAGCTCTGTGTGTCAGACCCAAGGCCCTGGTGGAGTGGGCTCACGAGGTGATCTCCTGATCCAAGCGTTGCAAAGATTCATGAGAGAAGAGTGGTTTCCCAGGGTCACACATTCCCTCACCACTTCTCTTGGCTGGGGTGGAGGTGGCTTCATATCATTCCCAGGTGGGCCATCACCTTGCCCTGCTTTTCTCTGTTCTCTCCCTTGGGTTGAGTTGTTTCCCTAATCAGTCCCAATGCGAATACATGGATGTTTCTGTTGAAGATGTTCTATTTACTCACCCCTTGTGTTCCTCTCTGTGAGTGACACATACCATAGCTGCTTCTACACAGCCATCTTGGCTCCCTCCCCCACCTTGTTGTTATCCTTAATTCAAGCTTTTCTTTCTATATAAATCATTACATTTGGTATTGTAGACATTTTTGTTATCGGTACTTGAACATTTCTCTAATGATGACTAAAGAGGATAAGAATTCCCATTCTCATAGATTTTTAACATACTTAAAATTTTACCTATCAGTTCAATGTAGCTCAGTTAAATTTTTTAGTTTCACTGAGAGCTATATCTATATAGCAAGTAAATTTAGAGAGATATAGCTAATGAAAAAAATGCTAATTTTTCTTTTGTTGTTCTTTCAGGAATTTCCAGTTTCCTGCCCCATGCACACACTATAAAGCATAAAATAAATGTAAAAGATAGTAGGAAAGCTTCATAGTGTTTATAATTTTATAATGCAAAACTACCTGAACTACTACCATACTTTGTAGTGATATTTGTGTTTAAAAGTAGTGGCATCAAAGAGGCAACATTGTATAATAGAATGCAAAAAAAATAAAGAAACAAAAATTTATTTCCACGGGTATTGGAATCAGGCAGATCAAGGTTCAAATCTTGTCCACCATTTTCTAGTCAGATTTCTAATCTGCAACATGGGAGTAAGATGTGTGTGTCTACATCACAGGGTAGATGTGAGGATTCAATAGGCTAATATATGTAAAGAAACTACTATAGAAAACAGCAATTGTTTACTGTAAAAGTGAACTCCTCCCTCTGCAAGTGGGTGTACCTGGCCTATAGGTCTTATGATCTGGCTTAGGGATCAGCTCACTTGAAAGTCACTTGTTTATGAGGTTGAACCTCAGTTCTAAAAATAATGGTGCAGTTTTGACATTCAGTTGAATTCAATAAACATGTAGTAAGTGTCTCTTGTATACAAAGTACTGTGGTTAGTTGTTATGGAAATGGAGAAAATACATAATATGAATGAAAATTGTTTTCTGCCCTGAAGAGCTTCAAATTTACTGGGAAAAGAGGGATATATTAATTTGCAAACACAATAAATACAAATAGTACAACAGAGAAGTAATTAAATCTAATTAAATCTAATGTGGGGTTGGGGGAACAGTCTATAAAAGCTAGCAAAAAGATAGTATTTGAACTATGGTTGAAGGATTAGCATGGTTTTTTTAGGTTGAGATAGTAGCAAGGGATTTCTGGTCTAAAGCTGTGTTAGGACACTTTTGCATTGCTACAAATAAATATCTGAGGCTGGGTAATTTATAAAGAAAAGAGGTTAAATTGGCTCATGGTTCTGCAAACTGTATAGGAAGCATGCTCAGCTTCTGAGGAGGCCTCAGGGAGATTTTACTCATGGACAAAGGCAAAGTGGGAACAGACAGTTCACATGGTGAGAGCAGGGGCAAGAGAGAGAGTAGGAAGGTGCCACACAATTTTAAACAAACATATTCCATGAGGACTCACTCACTGTCACAAGGCTAGCACCAAGCTATGGGGAATCCAATCCATGACTCAAACACTCCCCACCAGGCCTCATTTCTAACACCAGGGACCATATTTCAACAGGAGATTTGGATGGGACAAATATCCAAACCATATCAAAAGCAATAGCATGAGCAAACCCTGGTAAACCAACTAAGTGGTGATAATCTGGGCAAGAAAGGATGATAGTCTGGACAAGGATAATGGCAATGGAAATGAGAATGAGAAAGGGAGTGTGGGGAATAGTTTCAGAGTTTAAACCAAATAACTAAAAAATAAGACACGCTGAAGACACGAGCAACATACTTTGCAGCGACATCTGTGAGTGCTTTGGGTTTTTACATAGATCTATTTTGTCTATTAAAGCCATTTTCTTTCTAGATAACTTCCTTCATTTTCTGACTAGTTGACTTTATTGTCTAAATATGTTTCATACACTAGCTACCCCCAAAATTTTAAGAATAAACTTTATTACTGCTTCCCATTTCATTTTCTTCTTTGCTTTAAATAAAAATTTTTACAGCTCAAATCACATTGACCTTTTTTGTTCCAATATTGCATTATAAATTTATTTTTATTTAGCTACCCTCTTGCTCAGTGCCATCTCACATACCAGATTTCTCAGAAGGACAATGAATCTGAGTCAATTTCTTTCCAGATATACTAGTTTACACTCTCCCAATTTAATCTCATTTTGATTTGAGTCCACATTTATAACCTTTTCAAGTTCCAGATAAGTATTTCCTAAGTCATTACCCATATTTACAACATTGCTTAATATAGCATCATTTCAAGATACATTAATGTACTGCTCATTCTGCAGCTATTAATTGAGTTGAAAAAGAGAAGTAGAAACAGTAATTTGTTCCATAATGTCCATAATACCCTCTATCCCCTTTGCAGTTTATCAGATTGTATAGTCTACTATTCTGTTGATAACTGTTATTATTTATTATTTCTTTATCCAGTCTCCTTTGAACTACATTCCAAGAAAAAATGTTTTAAAATGTGGCTTATAACTCCAAGAAATATGGGACTATGTGAAAAGACCAAACCTACATTTGATTGTTGTACCTGAAAGTGACAGGGAGAACGGAACCAAGTTGGAAAACATTCATCAGAATATTATCCAGGAGAACTCCAATCTAACAGAACAGACCAACATTCAAATTCAGGAAATACAGAGAATATCACAAAGATACTCCTCGAGAAGAGCAACCCCAAGACACATAATCATCAGATTCACCAAAGTTGAAATGAAGGAAAAAATGTAAAGGCAGCCAGAAAGAAAGCTTGGGTTACCCACAAAGGGAAGCTCATCAGACTATCAGCAGATCTCTCTGCAGAAACCCTACAAGTCAGAAGAGAGTGGGGGCCAAAATTCAACATTTTTAAAGAAGTTACAACCCAGAATTTTATATACAGTAAAACTAAGCTTCATAACTGAAAGAGAAATAAAATCCTTTAGAGACAAGCAAAAGCTGAGAGATTTTGTCGCC
This sequence comes from Homo sapiens, assembly GCF_000001405.40. Taxonomy (NCBI): domain Eukaryota; kingdom Metazoa; phylum Chordata; class Mammalia; order Primates; family Hominidae; genus Homo; species Homo sapiens. The sequence continues at coordinate 118,458,675 of NC_000003.12, forward strand.
ACCAGGCCTGCATTACCAGAGCTCCTGAAGGAAGCACTACATATAGAAATGAAAAACCGGTATCAGCCACTGCAAAAACATACCAAATTATAAAGACCATTGACACTATGAAGAAACTGTACCAACTAATGGGCAAAATAACCAGCTAGCATCATAATGACAGGATCAAATGTACACATAATAATATTAACTTTAAATGTAAATGGGCTAAATGCCCCAATTAAAAGACACAGACTGGCAAATTGGATAAAGAATCAAGACCCATCAGTGTGCTGTATTCAGGAGACCCATCTCACGTGCAAAGACACACACAGGCTCAAAATAAAGGGATGGAGAAATATTTACCAAGCAAATGGAAATAAAAAAAAAGCATAGGTTGCAATCCTAGTCTCTGATAAAACACACTTTAAATCAAGCAAGATCAAAAAAGACAAAGGAGGGCATTACATAATGGTAAAGGGATCAATGGAAAAAAAGAGCTAACTATCCTAAATATATATGCACCCAATACAGAAGCACCCAGATTCATAAAGCAAGTTCTTAGAGACCTACAAAGAGAATTAGACTCCCATACATTAATAGTGAGAGACTTTAACATCCCACTGTCAATATTAGACAGATCAATGACACAGAAAATTAACAAGGATATTCAGGACTTGGACTCAGCTCTGGAACAAGCAGACCTAATAGACATCTACAGTACTCTCCAACCCAAATCAACAGCATCTACATTCTTCTTAGCACCACGTCACACTTATTCTAAAATTGACGACATAATTGGAAGTAAAACACTCCTCAGTAAATGCAAAAGAACCAAAATCATAACAAACAGTCTCCCAAACCACGGTGCAATCAAACTAGAACTGAGGATTAAGAAATTCACTCAAAACTGCACAGCTACGTGGAAATTGAACAACCTGCTCCTGAATGACTACTGGGTAAATAATGAAATTAAAGCAGAGATAAAGATGTTCTTTGAAACCAACAAGAATGAAGACACAATGTACCAGAATCTCTGGGACAGAGTTAAACAATGTTTAGTAGGAAATTTATAGCACCAAATGCCCACAGAAGAAAGTGGGAAATATCTAAAATTGACACCCTAACATCACAATTAAACAAACTAGAGAAGCAAGAGCACACAAATTCAAAAGCTAGCAGAAGACAAGAAATAAGATCAGAGCAGAAGTGAAAGAGATAGACACACTAAAAATCCTTCAAAAAAATCAATGAATCCAGGAGCTGGTTTTTTGAAAAGATTAACAAAATAGATAGACTGCTAGCCAGACTAATAAAGAAGAAAAGAGAGAAGAATCAAATAGACACGATAAAAAATGATAAAGGGGATATCACCACTGATCCCACAGAAATACAAACTACCCCATCAGAGAATACTATAAACACCTCTATGCAAATAAACTAGAAAATCTAGAAGAAATTGATAAATTCCTGGACACATACACCCTCCCAAGCCTAAACCAGGGAGAACTCAACTCCCTGAATAGATCAATAACAAGTTCTGAAACTGAGACAGTAATTAATAGCCTACCAACCAAAGTCCAGGACTAGATGGATTCACAGCTGAATTCTACCAGAGGTACAAAGAGGAGCTGGTACCATTCCTTCTAAAACTATTCCAAGCAATAGAAAAAGAGGGACTCTTCCCTAACTCATTTTATGAGGCCAGCATCATCCTGATACCAAAACCTCGCAGAGACATAACAAAAAAAGAAAATACAAAATTTCAGTCCAATATCCCTGATGAACATTGATGCGAAAATCCTCAATAAAATACTGGCAAACGTAGCATATCAAAATGCTTATCCACCACGATCAAGTCGGATTCATCCCTGGGATGATAGGCTGGTTCAACATATGCAAATCAATAAATGTAATCCATCACATAAACAGAACCAATGACAAAAAACACATGATTATCTCAATAGATGCAGAAAAAGCTTTCCATAAAATCCAACAACGCTTCATGCTAAAATTTCTTAATAAACTGGGTATTGATGGACTATATCTCGAAATAATAAGAGCTATTTATGGCAAACTCACGGCCAATATCATATTGAATAAGCAAAAGCTGGAAACATTTCCCTTGAAAACTGGCACAAGACAAGGATGCCCTCTCTCACTACTCCTATTTAACATAGTATTGGAAGTTCTGGCCAGGACAATCAGGCAAGAGAAAGAAACAAAAGTATTCAAATAGGAAAAGAGGAAGTCTAATTGTCTCTGATATACAATCAGGTAACATGATTGTATATTAAAAAACCCCATTATCTCAGCCCCAAAATTCCATAAGCTGATAAGCAACTTCAGCAAAGTCTCAGGATACAAAGTCAATGTGCAGAAATCACAAGCATTTCAATACACCAATAAATAGACAAACAGAGAGCCAAATCATGAGTGAACTCCCATTCACAATTGCTACAAAGAGAATAAAATACCTAGGAATAAAACTTACAAGGGGAGTGATGGAACTCTTCAAGGAGAACTACAAACCATTGCTCAAAGAAATAAGAGAAGACATAAACAAATGGAAAAACATTCCATGCTCATGGACAGAAAGAATCAATATTGTGAAAATGGCCATACTGCCCAAAGTAATTTATGGATTCTATGCTATCCCCATCAAGCTACCACTGACTTTCTTCAAAGAATTAGAAAAAAAAAAAACTACTTTAAATTTCATATGGAACCACAAAAGAGCTCATATAGCCAAGACAATGCTAAGCAAAAAGAACAAAGCTGGAGGCATCATGCTACCTGACTTCAAACTATATTACAAGCCACAGTAACCAAAACAGCATGGTACCGGTACCAAAACAGATATATAGACCAATGGAACAGAACAGAGGCCTCAGAAATAACACAACACATCTACAACCATCTGATCTTTGACAAAGCTGACAAAAACAAGCAATTGGGAAATGATCTCCTATTCAGTAAATGGTGTTGGGAAAACTGGCTAGCCATATGCAGAAAACTGAAACTGGACCCCTTCCTTACACCTTATACAAAAATTAACTCAAGATGGATTAAAGACTTAAATCTAAGACCTAAAACCATAAAATCCCTAGAAGAAAACCTAGGCAATACCATTCAGGACATGGTCATGGGCAAAGGCTTCATGACTAAAACACTTAAAGCAATGGCAACAAAAGCCAAAATTGACAAATGGGATCTAATTAAACTAAAGAGCTTCTGCACAGCAAAAGAAACTATCAGCAAAGTGAACAGGCAACCCACAGAATGGGAGAAAAGTTTTGCAATCTATTCATTTGACAAAGGGCTAATAATCAGAATCTACAAGGAACTTAAAGAAATTTACAAGAAGAAAACAAACAACCCCATCAAAAAGTGGACAAAGGATATGAACAGAGACTTCTCAAAAGAAGACATTTATGTGGCCAACAAACATGAAAAAAAGCTCATCAGCACTGGTCATTAGAGAGATGTAAATCAAAACCACAATGAGATACCATCTCACCCCAGTTAGAATGGTGATCATTAAAAAGTCAGGAAACAACAGATGCTGGAGAGGATGTGGAGATATAGGAAAACTTTTACACTGTTGGTGGGAGTGTAATTTAGTTCAACCATTGTGGAAGACAGTGTGGCAATTCCTCAAGGATCTACCAGAAATACCATTTTATCCAGCAATCCCATTACTGGGTATATACCCAAAGTATTATAAATCATTATACTACAAAGACACATGCACAGTATGTTTGTTGCAGAGCTATTCCCAATAGCAAATCTTGGAACCACCCAAATGCCCATAAATGATAGAGTGGAAAAAGAAAATATGGCACATATACACCATGGAATACTATGCAGCCATAAAATAAGGATGAGCTCATGTCCTTTGCAGGGACAAGGATGTAGTTGGAAACCATCATTCTCAGCAAACTAACACAAGAACAGAGAACCAAACACCACTGCAAGTTCTCACTCTTAAGTGGGAGTTGAACAATGAGAACACATGGACACAGGGAGGGGAACATCACACCCTGGGGCCTGTGGGGGTTGGTGGGCTAGGGGAGGGATGGTATTAGGAGAAATACCTAATGTAAATGACAGATTGATGGGTGCAGCAAACCACCATGGCACATGTATACCTATGTAACAAACCTGCACATTCTGCACATGTATCCCCAAACTTAAAGCATAAATAAAATAAAATAAATGAAAAATAAAATGTGGCTTACATTCATTTAAAAATAAGGTTTCTAATTATTTGTTTGAAAGTTCTATTAGAAAAGATTCCAAAATCTCTTTCTCTCTTGGATGTTATTTATTGTTCCCAGTAGATGTTACAAATAGACATGCAGTGAGAATGTATCTTCAAGAAGACTAGCTTGTTCACCAAGGGACTTACAAACCTGCTTGAAATTGATGAACACGGCATGGCCCTGTGTCCATACCTCTTACTGTATTTTATTTTGTTGTCCTTTAGATATTTTCATACTGTTTCCTGATTTATAATCAATTTTATTAAAAATATATTTTATGGATCTAGGCTTTATGATTGTATTAACTGAAGAGTTCAGATACACCAATAAGAAAAGACAATAAAATAAACGAAAAGAATATAAAAAGATAACTCACAAAAGAGGAATTACAAAGGAAAAGGAATCAAGTTTTAAAAAATATGAGACTTTTTTTTACTTAATAGAGGAGAATATTTATTATAATTGACAATACTTTTTACTGGAAGAATTCATAGATGCTGGTATACTCAGATATTGGTTTTGACAATAACAATTAGAACAACTGTTTTATAAACAACTTGGTACTCTGCATCAAAATTTATGAAAAATGTCATACTTTTGTCAGTGATTCATTCCACTTCTGGGACTCTATGCTACAAATATAAGGTGGGAGATATATTGAAAGACTATTTGAATTATATACTTTATTTATATTAGTGAAAATGCTAAAAGTACCAGAATATCCAACAGTAAGGGAATGATTACATAAATTATGAAGCATCCACTGAAAGGAATAGTATAAAAGGTGTCAAAATGAATGTCAATGAAGACTATAAACATGGGAAAATGTTAATTTAAAATATATTTTAAGAGCTCAATATGACAGGTTTAGTGCTACCACAAAAATCTAAGAAGAAAAATGTGCTTATAAAACAAAATTTTGAAACAAATGATAAAAAATGTTAAAGCAATTTTGCAGGTTTGGGGATGATGGTTTTTGATGTTTTTTTTCTTTATGTTCTAATTTTCCTTATTCATGCTTATTTGTAATACGAAAATTTTAAGTGTGTGAATACTTACAGGGCATTCACTGTGTGTCGGGCACTATGCTAGGCCTTGGAAACATAGAGGTAAGAAAGACAGCTATGGCGGCTACCCTCACAGAACACAGGATCACCAGGATTTGGTTACTTGGAATCAGCCTTGACTCATCTCTCTTCCACACTCAAATCTAATCCATTAGGAAATACCACTGGCTTTGCTTTCAAAATAATATCTAAAACCCGATCATTCTCCACTATCTTCATTGTAACATCCTAGTATAAATCACCATCATCTCCTTCCTGGTTACTAGAACAGCCTTGTGGTAGAATAATGCCCCCCTCACCCCCCCGAAAGATGTCTGTGTCCTAATACTCAGAACCTGTGACTATGTTACCTGATAGGACTTTGCAGGTGTGATTATATTAAGGACCTTAAGATGGGGGAGATTATCCTGGAGATTATGTGGGCGGGCCCAATGTAATTACAAGGTTCCTCGTAAAAGAGAGGCAGCAAGATCAAGCTTAGAGCAGATTCAATGAAGGAAGCTATGCTAGTCTGCTTTGCTTTGCTATAAAGGAACACTTTGCTATAAAGGAGCCTGAAACTGGGTGATTTATAAAGAAAAGAGGTCTATTTTGGCTCATGGCTCTGCAGGCTGTATGAAAAGCATGACACCAGCATTAGCTTCTGATGATGGCCTCAGGCTGCTTCCACTCATGGCAGAAGATAAAGGGGGAACAGGCACGTCACATGACAAGAGCAGGAGCAAATGGGGTGGGGTAAGTGCCACACTCTTTTAAACAACCGGCTCTCCCATGAACTACCAGAGCAAGAACTCATTCATGACCATGGGGATGGAACCAAGTCATTCATAAGGGATCCACCCCTATGATCTCAAACACCTCCTACTAGGCCTACCTCCAACATTGCAGGTCACATTTTAACAAGAGGTTTGGAAACGACCTACATCCAAACTATATCAGAAGCAGAAGTCAGAGTGATACAATTTCTGGAATTGATCCACTAGTGAAGGAATGCAGAAAGCCTCCAGGAGGAGCTATAAAATATGAGGGAATGGATTATCTCCAGAGCCTCTAGAATGAATGCAGCCCTGTCAACTTCTTGATTCCAGCCCAGTGAAAACCATTTCCGACTACTGACATCCAGAACTGTGAGGTCATACATTTGTGTTGTTTGAACAAACCACTATGTTTGTGGTCATTTGTTATAGCAACAGTAGGAAACTAATAGCAGCCCCTAGTTGCTTTCCTTGCTCTAAACCGTTCTTCTCCATGATCTGTTCTCAATCTAGCAACCAGAGTGACCCTGGTAAAACCTAAGTCATATCATTCTACTGCTTTCTGTTTCACTCAGAAGAAAAACAGAAATCCTTACAATGACCTGTGAGGTCCCACACAATTGATCTCCTTTTCTCTTTGATTTCATTCCTTAAAATTCTCACCTAGTCTATTCCAGGTATTCTGGCCTCCTTGGTGCTTCTCAAGATTACCAGGGATGCTTCTGCCATAGGAACTTTGCACAGGTAGCTTCTTCTGCCTAGGATATCCCAGACATATGACTCTCTCCTGTCTTCTTCAGGTCTTTGTTCAAATATCACCCACCAATAAAACTACCTCAGCTACCATACTTAATAATGCAATCTGAAACACCTACCTTCCCCCAGCACTCTACTCATGCTTTGTTTTTCTATTTTTTACAATACCTACAACACCTTCTAACTATTTGATTTACTTATTTGTTTGCTGTTTATTTGCTATGAACTTTCCACCTCCATACACACACACACACACACACACACACACACACAGAGAGAGAGAGAGGAATATAAGCTCCATAAGCACAGGGATTTGGTACATCTCATTTACTGATATATTCCAAGTGCCTAGAATAGTACCTAGCATATGACAGGTGCTTAGTTAATATTTTCTTTAAAAAATGAATAAATTATTTAAAAATTAATTCTTTTGATACATATTCAATTTTCTTGAATGGAAAATTTAAAGCACTGAATAATATCTTTATTAAATAAATAACTTATTCAAATCATTAAGAAAAAAACAACATCCAGAATAGGAAAATGGTAAGTTTATAATTTACAAAATAAAATATATAACTAACCAACAAACATTTGGACAATAATTCAGACTCTTAAAATATCAACAAGCACCGTTTTTGCTTATTTATGTCCATATACAATAAAAAGTTATTAAAGACACTTTACAGTCTATGATAATTTCAAGTTTCTGACAAATTATTCAGGTTTTATATGGAAATACTGAGGCTTGTTTGTGCTCCATAGAGCCCTTTTGCATAAGCTTCTGGCTAGCCAGTTATTGTATTGTTCTTTAGTTTTTCTTTTCAGGTTTTATGTATGGCTTTTGGTAAGGTTTCCAGCTCCTTCTTTGGTAGACTGGGATGGGCTTCTCCCCTACAAAATTTTGCTGTCCTTTTTTGGTGGGGAGGGGTGAATGGAGTCTTGCTCTGTCACCCAGGCCGCAGTGCAGTGGTGTACTTGGTTCACTGCAACCTCCACTCAGGGGTTCAAGCGATTCACTTGCCTCAGCCTCCTGTGTAGCTGAGATTACAGGCATACACCAACACACCCAGCTAATTTTTATATTTTTAGTAGAGACAGGTTTTCACCATGTTGTTCAGGCTGGTCTCGAACTCCTGACCTCAAATGATCGGCCTGCCTCAGCCTCCCAAAGTGCTGGGATTAAAGACATAAGCCACCATGCCCAGCCTCTGTCCGCTTTTAGATGTGATTTGTGAATCCATTCTAGCAGCCAAATCTTCACATGCTACCCCTGGAAAAGTGAGTTAAGTCTGCTGTTCTTTTAGCTTAATTTTTCATTTTATCTTGTTCCTTTTCATCTCTTAAGTGTCATCAGTACCACTGGAAGGATAATGAAGGCCATATAACAACATTATCAAAAGCTGCTTGAATCCCTTGCACTGCAGTGAGCTCTCCAGAGCTTATGACAGGTCCCCAGGCAGGTGCCTGAGATATCATTCCACACATGATTTAGTAGTAAGCTTGATGACAGGGGAAAGAATTGCTCCTTTCCATTTCAGATGATAAAAAGAATGAGCCCTTGGGCATGCGAGGACATATTTCAATCATCTGATTAGAATGCTGATGTTTCCATTTTTTCAATTCTGACCACTTTCTTTGTAAGCCCAATCACAACAAAGGCTGCTTTGTTCAGAGAAACAAATAAACCTGGACATTTAGCCTCTCTATTCTAGTGTCAAATAATCTAGACTGTTGACTATATCCATCCATTCTCATTGTAAAACCAAAACCATCACAACCCCCTTTTTGGGGACAAGGACGAGAATGTCTGACTGTTTATTCAACAAACTTTTATTAAATTCAATTAAGAGCCCTGTATTAGGCCACTCTTGCATTACTATAAAGAAATACCTGAGACTGGGTAATTTATTTTAACAAAGAAGTTTAATTGGCTGACTGTTCTGCAGATTGTACAGGAAGCACAGCGTAATCTGCCTCTGGGGAGGCCTCAGAGAGCTTTTATTCATGGCAGAAGGCAAAGTGGGAGCAGGCACTTCACGTGGTAAAAGCAAGAGCAAGAAAGAGAGGAGAGTGGGGAGGGGGTGCCATAGATGTTTAAATGATCGGATCTAGCAATAACTCACTATCATGAAAACAGCACCAAGCCATGAGGAATTCACCTCCATGATCCAAACACTTCCCACCAGTCCCCATCTCCAGAACTGGGGGTAACAATTCAACATGGGATTTGGGTGGGGACAAATATCCAACTTATATCATGCTCCAAATCTGGTGATGACAAGAAGAATAAGAAGCAATCTCAATCCTGATTTCTACTCTTAGAGTCTAGTAGATGAGACCAAGTGGCTACCAGGCAACTAGATAAAAAGGAACAGCATTAAAGAGCAGCGTTAAAAAGAGAATGAGAGAATTTATGTAACCTGGAAGTCATGGAGAAAAAAGAAAAAACAATCCAAATGATAGGGCAGGGCCAGGGGACAAGACAAAGGAAATAGAAATTGAATACTTCAGGACAAGTTGAACTTGGCAATGGGCTGAGAAGGAAAAGGAGATGAAAAGGGGGAGAATTGTAAGGAACCTAAGAATAAGCCTAGAGTGGGAGAAAATGTGGAACCAGTCAGAGTCAGTATGGCTAGAGTGTAGGTCAAAGGAAATATGTGGAAGGAGATGGGTTGGACACATAAGAAGACACCACATTATGGAGGCATATATGCCAGCTAATTATTCGTTTTTTATCTAGAAGATACTTTTTCTTTAATGATGTTTCTATATAACTGAGATTTCCCTCTTGTTTATATCATATTAGACATATGGAAGTTGATGTGTAATGTTCAGTCAAGAGATTTTATGTCTGAGCATACTTTAATAATGTCCTTTCTAACCTTGAGATCTCATTTATTCAATTTTTCCAATCATTCTTCAAAAATATCTGCTAATTTCAGTAGTTGCAGATAAATAATGCTTTGACTTGATCATGTGCACATGTTCAAATTTTCTACATACTCTTTTGCATTTTTAGGTCAATAGTTGCTTTATTCTTTCTCAATGTTTAGATTTATAGGCTACAGTTTTCTTCTTGAGGGCAGATTTAAAAATTAGTTTAGCCTAACAAAGTATTTTAATTGACATTAAATTTTTATGTCCTACTCCATTTATTAGCAGATATTTTTTAGTGAGGGTTTTCTTCTCCTCTGGCTAAAATGTATTTTTGTAAGGAACAGGAGAGGTTTCCAATTATTTATCTTTTTATTATTGCTTTATATTTTTGCCTAGGATTCACTTATCCAATTTCTTTATTCACCATTTAATCTGCTAGAACAATACACTGAGCTAGGGTTAGCCCTTTTGACTCCAATCTTATCTATCAGAATGACTAGCTATTTGACCCTGAGCAATTTACCTAAAATGAGAGAGTTAGAATGGATTATCCCCAAATGCCCTTCCAGCATCCAGAGATTTAATTCTCATGACTAAACATTAATGTATATAATGGATCTCATTACAGTTCCTTCCTTTGCTTATCTCATCTATACATTTCTTGAATCATAAATCTGTATACTTCACTTGTTTGCTCTCTTTGTCTATACAGCAGGGGTGCTTGGGGGGCCAAGACTGAGTCATCTATTTCCTTAGGTTCCCATCAGAAGCACCACTGAAGGTTTTGGCTTGTAGAAGTTACTCAGTGAAACTTTGTCATGACAAAAGGCACATTAGGGGTCATGATCTGTGCTGTTGTGTTTCTTGTTGAATGCTTCAGATGTTACACATTTTATCTTTATTTCAAAGGAAACAGTCTTGTTTCTGTTTTATTATAAAGCCTATCACAGAATGTTCTGTTTCCAAGTCATACAATGCTGATGGCTCTATGTCAGCAGCTTCCAAATATCTAGAAAAGGTTGGCTGACACTGACCCCAGGGTTCAATTAGCTTGGCCTACTACTATGAACCAAATGGTGTGGCCTTTGTTAATGAAACCTGTGGTGCTGTTCAGCCAAGCTACATGCAAGTGCAAAAGCAAAACATACTTTACATCTCAGATAACAATTTGAGGGTTTAGATGATTTCCTCACTAGATTATCTCCATCATTGTCTCCTTCAATCTGTTTCCCTCTCAGGCTGGTCTGCTAAATTTAATCTGATTCAGGAACCAGTGAGGCAGCAGCTTCTTGCTATTGTGTAGGATAGTTTTACTATCATGTCATCAAACATAAACTTTGTTGTCTTTATTCCAAAATATGTTCTCTAATTTCTCATTATTAAACTCCCAGTCTTAGTCTGTCTGTGTTGCTATAACAGAAAACCTGAGACTGAGTAATTTTTAAAGAACAGAAATTAATTTTCTCACAGTGCTGGAAGCTGGAAAATCCAAGATCAAGGTGTCAGCAGGCTCTGTGGTCTGGTGATTGCTGCATCCTCCAGAAGGGAGGACTGCTGTGTCTTCATGTGGCAAAAGGTGAAAGGGCAAGCAAGTCAAATGCTGCATGAGGCCTTGTTTATAAGAGTGTTAACCCCATTCATGAGGGAGGATCCCTCATGGTCTAAAGCATCCTCTTCTTCATACTATCACATCAGCAACACCTGAATTTTAGAGTGCACATAATCAAACCACAGCATTCTACCCTTGGTCCCCCCAAATGTATGTTCTTCTCACATACAAAAAAATTAATTCCATACAAATAGCTCCAAAATCTTAACTTGTTTCAGTATCAACTCAAAAGTTTAAAGTCAAGAGTCTCATCTAAATTAGATATGGGTAAAATTCAAGGCATGATTCATCCTGAGGCAAATTTCCCTCCAGCTGTGAGTCTGTAAAATCAAACAAGTTATGTGCTTCCAAAATACAATGGGACAGACATAGGATACCAAAAGGGAGGAATAGTAAAGAAGAAAGGGGTAACAGGTCTCAAGTACGTCCAAAACCCAACGAGACAAACATTAGATCTTAAGATTCAAAAATATTAATTTTTTTTACTATATGTTCCATCATCTGGACACACTGAGGTGGGATTTGGATCCCCAAAGGCTCCATGGCTTTGCTGGGCACAGCTCATATCATAACTCTCATGGGTTGGAGTAAATGTCTGCAGCTTTCCCTGGCAGGAGTTGCACACTGGTGGCTTTAGATATCTTGGGTCTTAGCAGAGACCCTGACACATGGCTCCACTGAGCATTGCCTTAGTGAAGGTTTTCTTCTATACCCAAACCCCATAATTACACTGGATATTGCCCTCACTGAGGGCTCTCTACAGTGACTCTACCCTGTGGCAGGTCTGTCCTAGGGCTATCTAGGGCATTCTTTGAATCTAGGTAGAGGAAGCCATGCCTCCACTGTTCTTGCACTCTGAACTTTTGAAGAATCAGCAGCATATGGATGCTGCCAAGGTTCACTGCTTATACCCTCTGGAGCTGTGGCCTGACCTGTATCTAGACCTGTCTGAGCCACAACTGGGGCAACTAAGGAGCACTGTGTCAGAATATGCGGAGGAAAGACCTGACATGGCCCTGGGAAGTGAGCACAGATATCCCACAGGCATCTCAATCTACTACCCCAAAACACCTCTACCCCCAGGGCCTAGCACTCTGGGCCTGTGATGGGCATGGCAGCACCAAAAATCTCTGATATGCCTTGGGGGCCATTCTCCCATTTTCTTGATGGAAAACACATGGCTTCCTTCTATATATTAAATCTCCTTATCAAAGTGTTGTTTAGTCACACTTTTGGTTTTTTCTCCTAAACATTCCTTTTATTCTTTATATGGCCAGGTTAAAAAATTTCCAAATCTTTGTGTTCTGCTTTCCTTTTAATTATGAATTCTGTCTTCGAGTCCTTACTCTCTTTTTGCATTTTTCTATAAGCCATTAAGAGAAGTTATGCAGCATCATGAACACTTTGCTACTTAGAGATTTCTATCACCAAATATCCTAGTTCATTGTTCTTAAGATCTACCTTTCACAAAGTCTTAAGACCCAGACAAAATTCAGCCAACTTCTTTGCCAATTTATAACAATCACCTTTCCTCTGGTTCCCAATACTTTGTTCCTAATTTCCATCTGAGGCCACATCAAATGGTCTTTACTGTCCTTATTTCTATCAGCATCCTGATTACAACCAGTTAGATAATCACCAAGAAAACTGAGGGTCTCCCTACAGTATTCCTCTTCTTCTGACTCTCACCTTTAATTTTGCCTTAATGCTCCATTTACAACAATCTAGGTTTTTTCCAGCATTAATTTCAAAACTGTTCCATCCTCTACCCATTATCCAATTTCAAAACCATTTCTACATTTTTAGATATTTGCTATAGCAGTATTCCACTTTTGGTACTGATTTCTTTCTTAGTTTTCTTTGTGCTAGTATAACAGAATACCTGGGACTGAGTAATTTATAAAAATCAAGAGACATATTTTCTCATAGTTCTGGAGGCTGAGAAGTTCAGAATGAAGGCACCAGCAAATTCAGTTGTCTCGTGATTGCTGCATCCTCCAGAAAGGAGGAAGGCTGTGTTATCACATGGCAGAAGATGGAAGAGCAAGCTAGCCAAACACCGAGGGAAGCCTCTTTCATAAGGGTGTTGATTCCATTTGTGAAGGAGAAAGTCTCAGGGTCTAATCACTTCTAAAGGTTCCACCTTTTAATATTACCACATTGACAAATTTCCCCCTATGAATCTTGAAGAGGACACATTCAAACCATCGCACCCCCTTCCTCCTTGCTGTTGTCTGAGTCAGACACTTGCTTTGTCTTAAGGCCACTTCCTTGCAGAGGACCTGATGGGCTAGTATACAATTGCCACAGCGGACCTGATTAGGGCAGCCTTAGGGGACTCATGGGAGAGAGCAGCACCCTGAAACTAGAGTGTTTCAATTAAAGAAAAAAAAAATCATTCCCAAATTGTAAAGCGCAAATTTTGACTTTGAGACAATTTTATCTCCATCTGGGCCTAGAAATATTTCTTCATATTTCCACTCAAGTGAGACCAAGCAAATATCTTGGTCAATTTAAAAAATCAGTAATCCCAAGAATCTGTGCATGAGGCATACAGCAATATTTTTTAACATATATACCTTCTGGACCAAAAGTAGAGGCACATGGCTAAACAACATGAATATCCTCCTGGGTTCAATCTGAAGTCCAGGGAGGTAAGAAGTGTGCTAGCTTGCAAACATCCCTCTGGCTGGGATCTGGATTTAAACACTCATTTATTTAGGGTATTGTTGGTTTTGTTTATAGAGACGGAAACTATATGTGATATGAGATCTGTGGCTGATACAAACTGCTGAAGTTAAGCAAGAGAAACATGTTTGGTATGAGTCATCACAATCAGGCCACCCAAAGAAATTGCCTCCCAAGTTACAGAGACAGGCTGTGTATCAGGATGGCAAATGGGAGGTTGCCTGAATAAAATAAACAGGCAGTGTAGAAAAATGAGGTTGATTTTAATATGATTATTTTACATATTGGCCTAGATGGGTAGAATCTATCTACAGCTTCTGTTTTAGAGAAGAGCAAGACATGTTGGAAACTACAGGGTCAATAAAGTCAATGTAGTAGTGAGCTTTGAAGAACCTGAACCTCAAATAATCGAATTCTACCCTGTTGATCACCATACCCTCTACTACCACCACCATAAGTTTAACAAGAGAGACATTAAGAGGTATTACAGCACCGCTTTCTTACTAGCTGCACAAGTGTCCAACAATTCTAATTCTGACCACTGATCAGATCAAATCTGAGCTGAAGCATGGGGTTCTAGGCCATAATTGCCCTATTCGACTCTGATCTAAATTTTTGTTTTTAATTTACCACTATGCAACAAGGGCAACAGGGATGAAAAAGCAAAAGAGAAGATGGAACAAAGATAAGTTGTCCAGGCTTCCCTGAGAGGCCAAGCTTCAAGCCCAGTAACTAGTGAGCTATATTGCCATGTATGAAAACCAGGGGTGTCCAGATACTCATGATGCAACAATCCCCTGGGCCCACCTGATTTCAGGCCAGCCCAGCTGTGGCTCATGCTCATTGACAATATACCACATCAAGCACAAACCACCCAACCACATGCAATTGCAACTTAAAAGTGTAGGAGAACTTCATCTCAAGTAGAGAATAGGAGCTGGTAGATAAATGGTCTAGCCTTTGCATCTCCTGGTAGGATAATTCTAAAGCAAGTTCTGGAAGAGTATAGAACTTGCCAAATAGCAATTTGGCAGAGCTGAGCCCTTATTACCCTCATGTCTTGGTTTACTAGGGCTGCCATAACAAAATACTACAAACTAGATGCCATAAATAACAGAAATTTATTCTTTCATAGTTCTGGATGCTAGAAGTCCAAAATCAAGGTGTTGGCAGGGTTGGTTTCTTCTGAGGCTTCTCTCCTTGGTTTACAGATGGCTGCATTCTTGCTGTTTTCAGCCTTTCCTCTATGTGTGCACATGCCTGTGTTTTAATCTCCTCTTCTTATAAGGACATCAGTCATATCATATTAGGGCCCAGCTCTTTGACCTCATTTACATAATTCAGCCCATAACGTCCCAGTAACTAAATGTGTACTTTATTGGCATTTCATCTTTCTTTGTCTGGCTTTTCCCCTCCCACACGTATGCTACTGCGGATTACTTCCCAAATAAACTACAAAAATCTATCTTTGTCTCAAGGTCTGTTTTCAGAGGAACCCGATCAACTATCTTAAACTCTGACCAACAGAATTAACTGTTCCATGGGGGAGTTAGGAATATGTTGGGCATACACAGGTCTTGCTTGTGATTCGTCATTAATGTGTTCCTATCTCTTCAAACCCAATATTGTAGGTACTTTGATCTAAATTTGGGAAACTCCAAGAACCAGATAAGATAAAGGCATGCACACAAATCCACCTGTCTGCCTCAACCCTGTCAGCAAAATTAAGTTTGGTGCAAAATGTAAAGAGACATTTAAATGTCTTCTCAAAAGGGTAGGGTGAGTGTATTTAGCAGCACATGGCTGTGATACTCCCCCTGTGGGGCACAGCAAAGTGCCTGCAAAATACTGAGCATTGAGTCATCCAGACATTTGTGTGCATTTTCCCAAAAAGGAAAAGTAGGATTCATCACCTCTTGGATCCAGAATACTTTTCTCTTTACTTTGAATTCTTCTCATTTGAATTTTAGAATGATAGACATGTTCTCAGTTGAAATGCTGTGGGTTTCTTTCTCATTGCCCTTCATGCTGCCATGAGTTCCCAGTTTCTTTATTTGAATTCTGTAAGCTGTTAGTCTAAAAGTGGCCATCGTACCTCTAAAAAGCTTACCTAAGTTGACCTTTTAAAATAATCTACTATCTACTATGAATGACCTATGTGTGTATGTCAGCTAATGAACATAAAAGCAAACAAACTACAACCTAAATAAATAATCATAATACTTGCATTTCATCATCAATGAACTTAGCATATCCCATGCTTGCAATGGACTTAAATGAAATCAAAATAGCTATGATTTAATGAGCTTCTAATATATGTCAGTCTCTTTAAGTAATTATCACAGGTCATACGCCAAAAAACCCTAGGATATAGATACTACTATTCTTGATGTTTTTAATATGAGAAAAGGGATTTGGAAAATATGATTAAGCTAATAAATAACATAAATGAGATTTGATCCCAAATCTGAATCTAAATATTTTTACTTCCAATGATTCTCAACCAGGAATGACCATTAAAATTTATTGGAGAGCTTTTAAAAGTTGTAGGTTCTGCTATACAAACACTCAAGAATATTTTTAGATGTAACATGGACTTAAATAAGAAAGCTAAAAAGAATCAAGATTCTAGAATAAAATACAGTAAACTATTATCATTACCATTGGCTAGGCAGATTTTTTTAAATAAGATTCAAAAATTACTGACCCTTAAATAAAAAAATAACAGATTGGACTTTACTAAAATTAAGATCTTTTAATCAAAAGTCACCATGAAGAGAGTAAAAAGATAAGCTAAAGACTGAAAAAAATCATCAATACATTTATTTTATTTATGTATTTATTTATTTATTTATTTATTTATTTTAAGACGGAATCTTGCTCTGTCACCCATGCTGGAGGGCAGTGGCGCGATCTTGGCTCATGGCAACCTCTGCCTCCCAGGTTGAAGTGATTCTCCTGCCTAAGCCTCCTGAGTAGCTGGGACTACAGGTGCATGCCACCACACCCAGCTAATTTTTGTTTTTTAGTAGAGACAGAGTTTTACCACGTTGGCCAGAATGGTCTCCATCTCCTGACCTCGTGATCCACCCGCCTCGGCCTCCCAAAGTGCTGGGATCACAAGTGTGAGTCACTGTGCCCGGCAATACATTTATTTTAAAAAGTTTGATTCAGAAAATAAACATTTTATAAAGTGCTCAACTTTAGTCACCAGAGGAAAGCAAGTTAAAGTCACTATACACTTACCCAAATGACAAAAATTTAAAGGTCTGACAATACCAAGGTTTGGCAATATTGTAGAACAACACAAGGACTCCCTTAAATTGCTAGTGGGAGTGTTAAATGTGAGATCACTTTGAAAAACTATATCTCAGTAACTTTGAAAGATAAACATCCCTATATCCTAATGAATGACATAGCAATTCCACTCATGAATATATACCAAGCAGATATAAATGCTTTATATATCCAAAAAAACATAGATAAGGATGCTCATAGCACCTTTATTCATAAAAACTAAAAACTATACATAACCCAGGTGTTCATCAACAGTAGAATGGATAAATAAATGATACATTCACACAACAGAATACTACGTAGCAATGCAAAAGAACAACCACTGAAAAATAAAACATGGTCAAATTTCACAGATATAACATTGAGTGGAAGAAATCAAACACAAAAGAGTATTCATTATATAAATCCATTTATATAAATTTCAAAAACAGGCAAAATAATCTATGGGGAAAGAGGTAAGTGTGGTTATCCTTGGAGGAAGGGGGTTTACTGACTGAAAAGGATAACATGAGTTTTCCAGAATCTGGATATCTTAATTTATTTTTACTTTGGCACACAGGTCACACAGATGTGTGGATGTATATGTTTATATATGCTCATGTGTGTGCATAAAAATCATGACATTTACACTTAGGATTTATGTATTTACTATCTGTAAATTATACTGTATTCTTTAAGTATAATTGCTGGATATCTCTCTTAGGCCTATAGAATCAGAAGCAGAGCTGAAGAATAAATATACACAAGTATATATATTTTTAAAAAGTATCCCAGGTGATCCAAGTATTTTGGTATACATCCTTGTTTTCAAATCACTTTATCCCTAGACTCAGGGAATTCAAGAACTGTGCAAAGAGTCAGCCCTCATGAGTAAAAGTTCTGGCTCTGCAAATAACAAGCTGTGTAACCTTGGGTAATGCAGTCATAAAAAGTGGCGTCTAGACTAGATGAACTCTCTGGTTCCTTCCAACACTAATGGTGTAAATCTTATGACAGAAATCCATATCAATCAGCCAATACACACAATAAGCCCAACATTAAAACCCAAGGGAAGTAGGTGGTTGACTATGTGATCTAATTTCAATTACGGCTACCCAAAAGTTCTTTCACTCTAAGTATGTATTACACTCTATCTTTAGAAATTCATTCTTCCATATTGTGCTTAGGCAAATTCTTAAAAGATGGTAACACATTAAGCTAATCATTAACACTCCTTTATGGATGTGACAATAGACCAACTTCAATTTCATAGTCACTAAAATTCTACCCTTTAAGGACAGTATGTAGAATCAAACTACAAAAAAATGTAGTTTGGTATATAGCAGAAAGAACATAGAACTGAGAAAGAAGAATCTGCTTTCTGCTTACACTTATACCACTAATTATTTCTATGCACACTTATGCCCCTAATTAACTGTGTGTCTTTGAATAGGTCCTTTTTCCCCTCTGATCAACCATGAGTGAAATATGAGGACTGGAATACATCATCTCTTAAGTGTCATGAACACTACTACATGATTCTCTGAATCTTTTTCAGTCCTGATATGGGGAAAGTGAAAGGTAATCTTGAGTTCTCAAGTGAAGGCACTGCCATTCTGTAATTTTGAGAAAGACAGCCACAGCAACTAGGGACAGTGGCAGGAAGCTGATGGAGAACACTGAAATCAGTTTGTTTGTTTTTCTTTAAAGCCAGTTTGAGCCCTTGGGTGAGAGCAGGGACAATAACCAATTACATTACCTTTGTGCTTATGCTGCTCAAAGTGTTTACCACTTAGAATATACTGGCTGTCTCAGGGGGAGAGAAATACACTGGCGTTGTTCCTTAGGACACTCCATGTTGTATTTATATATGATATAAATACAAGTTGTACTTATAAAGTGCTATAAAAGTGCAGAGGGCAGAACCCACTGACCAGACTCCAGAAGCACGTGTAAGGACTGCACTCTGCTGTCCTCTTCCCCTTACCCAACACTGCTCATTTCCCTCCACAAGGAGTGCTGGGACTAGGACCAGCATGGAGAAGCCAGGCTTCCACATGGCCTGGGGGAGGCTTGTGGCACTGGATATAAGCTTCTAGGGCTTCAGGGGTAAGACAGCAGCTCAACTAAGGGGAATCAGATGGCTACCTAAAAGTAACATTGGAGGGAAAAATTTGAGAGGAAGGACAAATGTGTGAGAGTCACAGGGACCCTTTCATGTGAGAAAGGGAAAATGAAACGCAGTCAAATGAAAGCCATTCGATTTGTAGGCAGATGAACTTTTCATTCAAAGAACACTATCATTCCCTTTTTCCTAATGAGATTGGTGTAAACCATGTTTCTAATAAGTAGCTGATGCAAAATTAGGTGTGTTGACTTCTTTACTCCAAATACACAATCTCAAGACAATGGCTGAAATTTCAGGTTTTGATAACTGAAAGAATTATAGAGAACACTCTATCTTTCCCACTGTACCTTTCAGTCTGAGTGAGACACCAGATGGGAACGGATCCCTGGCAGAACCTCCAACAGATCTGCGCACTGAGAGGAATGTGCACTGAGGTGGAGCCTCGTCCCTTCTCTTCCTGGGTGGTACCTGGGATTCAGTCTGGGAGGCAGGAAACTGGCTAGCAGGACTATCACTTTGCTGAGAGTCCCTGTTTCCCTTTTTTCCCTTTTCACCCAATAAATTCCATTTTTCTCATCCTTCAAAGTGTCTGTGAACCTAGTCTCTCATGACCATGTGACAAGAACCTGGCTTTTAGCCGAACTAAGGAGAAAGTCCTACAACATTAGGAAGTCAGCCACTACTTTATTTTTTATTACCCTTTCCAGGAGTAAATACTGCTAACTCACGAGTTATTGTCTCAGAGGTGTTTGAACCAGAGCAACTCCACCTTGAATAGGAGCGGGGTAAAATGAGACTCAGGCCTACTGGGCTGCATTCCCAGGAGGTGAGGCATTCTAAGTCACAGGAGGGCATAGGTCCGCACAAGATACAAGTCACAAAGACCTTGCTGATAAAACTAGTTGTGGTAAAGAAGCCAGCCAAAACCCACCAAAACCAAGGTGGTGATGAAAGCAACTTCTGATTGTCCTCACTGCTCATTGTGCACTAATTATAACGCATTAGCATGCTAAAAGACACTCACACCAGCGCCATAGCAGTTTACAAATGCCATGGCAACATTGGGAAGTTACCTTATATGGTCTAAAAGGAAGAGGAACCCTCTTCAGGGAATTGCCCACCCATTTCCGAAAAAACTCGTGAATAATCCACCCCTTGTTTAGCATGTAATCAAGAAATAACCATGAAAATAGCCAACCAGCAGCCCTCAGGGCTGCTGTGCCTATGGAGTAGCCATTTTTTATTCCTTTACTTTCTTAATAATTTTGCTTTCACTTTACTCTATGGATTCACCTTGAATTATTTCTTGCCCAAGATCCAAGAACCCTCTCTTGGGATCTAGATTGGGACCCCTTTCCAGTAACAATTAGACCAGAAAATATAATTGTGTGAACTCAAGTTTCCTAGGAATTGAATGCAAACCCACAATTTCAAGTAGTCTAGGAAATAGCCATTCAACTAATAATGATAACAGGTTGCTACTGATCTGAGTCGAATAGGGGCTCACCTAAAACAATAGGGGGAAAGAAAAATCTCCCTTTTTAGAAACCTGCCTCATCCTCAGTTACTCTTAAGTGTTCTTTCTCTCTCTCTTCCCCCCTTCCCTCCCTCCCTCTTCCTCTCTCTTCCTCCCACCCCCTTAAAGAAATATTTAGCTTATACTTGTAATGAGCCTTAGGAAGCTCACTGGGGCCTTGCCTAAACATTGCCTGTAATTTAGGGTGAGTTATGTTTCAATTACCTCTATGCTATAGCATACTGGTGAGGGCAGGCATTATGTCATGTCAGGGATACAGGCGAGAGAAAATACGGACGCCCCCGTTACAGGCGGTGATGGAGCAGTTTTAATAATATCGGAAGAAAATGGACCATAAATGCCTTTCCAGCTGTACCATTAATCTGCACATTAGCGATACCACATGCTCTATTTTGGGGAAGGAGGCTGAAGGCAGGAAGGGGTTACAGGTATGGTGGGTACTGGAGTTCGTTTTCTGCCTTTAGAAAAGAGGCAAAAAAAATCCTATAAAAACCATAGAAATGTCTGGGATTTTTCTGTGAGTAATGATCTTACCAAAGATATAAAACACTAACTTTTTAATTTAAAAAAATCTAATTTCTAGTGTTTCCCTGTTTCCTGCAAGAAAGATAACTTACATGTGCTCTCACCCTCCCTCCCATTCCCTCTCTCTCATTTTCTCTGCCTCTTTATTTTCTTGACACAAATAGCAGTCATTGCTCAGAGAATGCGCAGGATTAGGCTGCTTTGTAATTCAAACATTTTATTCAGGTTACCCCTTATGTTCTAAAGAGGAAAATATGTATTGGCTAAATGGCCTTGTTATGGATATTTCCCATTGTGAATAGGAGGGTGGCTCCCCCCACACTAACCTTTCCAAACCATTACTCCATTTTTCACCTACTTCGGAATTTAGCTAATTCTAATTTCCAATTTTTTTTTTCAAATAGGGGAAAATCATATATAGATATTTTTCTTTGGCGTGATTGGTTCTTTTAAAAAGAGGAAGTGGCAAAAATGAGCAGCCACAGCCAGATGATGACCTACACTTTGAGGATTTGTGGTTTGCAGGTGTTGAGCCCCATGAAATAGAGTAAGAAAGATTAGGATGTGGTGGGTTGGTGCATCCAACAGCCCTTTAACTTTGGTTAGTTAAAACAAATACATTCAGTCAGAACTGTCTCTTATTTAATCAAGGAGGAATGTGTTCAGTATCTAAAATAAATAGTATACACGGCTGGTCTAACTTTCCTTGAATCAAAATGACAGTGTAAGCCTAAAATAAAAAGGACAATATGAAACATGACACATGCACAGAAAACTGGAAAATACAGAAAATTTTAAACCAACTGTGGTTGGGAAAGATACATACTAAAGAAAGATAATTGTCCATGTGTGGTTAATAATTATTTTTTTCATGTAGATATAATTTGGACTTACTGGAGAATATTCAAACATTTCACATAAATATAAAAACCACCTCTGTTATTATTTCAGTTATTTCTATATCTTTTAATGATTCTATCTAATGTATGGACAAAACTATCTATTTATTCATTCATTCATTTACTTAACAATTATTCATTGAGTATCTACTATGCAATAAGCACTGTTCTGCTCAATGTAAAATGAAGACATCTAGTGAACATAATACATATGGTGAATATCTTCCTGGAGTTAATAATATTCTATTGGGAGAATTAGACAATAAATCAAATACATGCAGTTTGTGATGCATGCTAGCAAGCAAATGTTATGCCAGAACAACTTTACAAAGTCTTCAGAGAAATCAGAATTATATAGCATATGCCACTCTGCATTGTGCTCTGTTTACTTAAAAGTGGTGAGAATGAGCTTATGTCATTAAATATTCTTGGAAAACGTTTCTAATGGCTGGATAGTCTGTCTTTTTAATAAACCTTAATTTATCAATTTATGAATTCTATCATACAGTCTTTTAATTTGGGGGGTATTTGAATTGTTTCCAATTATTCACATTTGTAAATAATAACAAGGACCATCTATTGTATACATGTTTGCCAACATTTCTCATTAGTTTGAGTAAATAGCTTCTAAGAAGCAGAATCACTACGTTGAAAGGTATGAGCATTTCAAAGGCTCTTGATGCAAATTGATAAATTGTTTTCGAGAAAAGTTACTAACCTATGCTCCCAACCGAATGTCCTCTTGGAAATAGCTAATATTCAAAGCATATTGACTGTGCCCCCAGATCCTGTTCTAAGTTCATTACATGGATTAACTCATTTAACTCTCCCCTATAAAGTAAGTATACTGTATTACTAACCCCATTTATTGCTGAAGATTCTGAGGCACAGAGTAGTTTGTCTAAGACCACACAGTAGTAAATAATAGTGTCAAGATTTGAAGTCAGGCAGACCAGCTCCAGAGTTCTATCTCTAATTGATTAGGCATTGTTGCTTCTGATGCTCTCATCAACATTCTGTATTGTCCTCCTTATTCTTATTATTTTGAAAGTAAATAATGTCATCCTTTTGTTCAACTTTGTTTGTGTACTTAGTAGTAGAATTAAACACTTTGTCACTTTTTCAATTTCAGTTATTCCATGAGTTCGAAATCCCTTGATTCTCTTTTCCACTGGAATATCAATGCTGTTATTTATTTTTAAAAGCTCTTTTCACATTAAGGCTACAACAGTGTCTGTTACAATAGCTATAGCATTTTTTCTCATCTTGATATTTGTTTTAAATTGCATTTTTGTATAAACAAAAGTACTATTTTTATTCATCTTTTCATACACCTATCAGAATCCTTTAATTTTTTTTGGCATTTCTCTTCCATGGCTTTTATCTAAGAAAATAGTTTTTTTGCCCGAATGTCTGTTAACTATTCACCTATATTTTCTTCTGTTTTTGTTGTTGTTGCTACATTTCTATATTTGCTTTTTAAATTCATGTGAACATTATTTTTATGTAAATAAGAGAAAAAATAAATTAGTCTTTCAAACAAAGTTAAAATAACTATTCCTGACTCACACATAGCTTCCTCATTATTTTATAATGCATTATTTGACAAATAATAAGTTTTTGAATATGCTAGAATTTATCCCAAGATTATAAGTTTTATGGATCTGTCTGGAGATATTTACATCAAAGGATATAAATTGCTCTAGCTGTAAAATCAATTTTAACGTCCAGTAGGAGACAAATCCCCCTCTCCATCTTCCTACTTTTCTTAGCTGTATTCCCTCCAGTTTGTTTTCCAGATGAATTTTAAAATTACTCTGTTATGTCTTTCTACAAAAAGAAAAATTAATAAATACAACTGATACTCATTACCTGCAATTCTATATTTGCAAATTTGCCTATTCTCTAAAATACATTTGTGACCCCAAATCAATATTTATGGAGCTTTCTTTGTCATTTACAAACCTGAGCAGAGCAGCAAAAAGTTTGCCACCCCAAATGCATATTGAATTAGGTGATGCAATGTTTTCTTGCTTCAATTCTCATACTATAAACAAGTGTCCTTTTTGGTCTTAATTTAGTGCCTTTTTTTTTCACATTTCTGTGCTTCTTGTGGATATTACTGTTTAAAATGGCCCCAAGTATAGTGCTGAAGTGCTGTCTAATGTTCCTTAGTGCATAAGGCTGTGATGTGCCATACGGAGAAAACAGTTGTGTTAGATAAACTTCCCTCAGGCTTGAGTTATATCACTGTTGGTCATGTGTTCAATGTGAATTAATCAACAATATATGCTAAATAAGATGTCTTTAAACAGAAACACAAAATAAAGTCATGTACTGATTGGTTTGTTGGGGCTCTGAAAACAATACCTTAAAATATAGTGCTTACATATGCTGAACAAAAGAAGCTTGACCTTCCCTGATCCTGTCTCTCAACAATGTCTCTCCCAAACCACAGCATATTGTCTGAAATTCCCTTACCTATCTAAGAACCATTCCCACCAAAAGAGGACGCAATTGCCTCTAATCCCTTCCCTAAATTTTTATGAACAAGAGAAAACTAAAATTCATATCACAGAGGAGGAATCTGAAAATTAACCATCACACCTACAAGCCCAAAGGAACTTCATCCCAAACTATTGTTTATTCCCCAGTCCCATTCATTTACAAAGAGAATCATCATTTACAAGCTAATTTCTGTCTCCCTGATCAATGCATTCATCTCTCCTAAAATTATTTACCATGCCTCTAAAATTGTCTTCAGTCCTCCATTTCACTCTTTGCTATGAAGTGGATGTTTAACCATCTGGCTCTTCTTTGAGCTTCATACTTTGTGTATGGCTCCTGTGTTTAATGCACATTAATAAACTTTAGTGCCTTCTTTTCTGTTAGTATGTCTATTGTCAGTTTGTTTTATAGACTCAAATTATCAAACTTTCAGGAAGGAGAGGAAATATAATTCTTTTCACAGGTTGATGAAAATATTGTGACCAGAGGCTCCTAGGATCCTAATCTTGTATGTCCCCTAGAAGTGATGATTCAGGATTGGTAAATTCATTGTTCACAGCAAATTTATAAAACATAACAACCACAAATAACGCGAATCAACGGTATTTTTATAGATATTGTTTTAAATCAATGTATTATCTTGAGAAGGATTCACTGTTTCAAAATAAAGACACCCTCATCCAGAAAAATGTTATGTTTCATAGTTATTTTATTCCATAATAGTCTACTGATTTTATTATGCTCATTCCCAGGCACTGTATTGTTCTTATTTGCTGTTGTGAATGGATTTATTTTTCTCTTATAACTTTTTGTGGGCTATTGCTGGTTTACAGAAAAGGTATTGGTTTTTATAAAACTATTTTTATCTAGTCACTTTGCAAAACTTCTTGTAAGTTGATATTTTTCCTCAGAATAAAATCAAATATTAGGCAAAATAATTCTAATTGTAATTTTTGTTCCAATAGTTTTGTCTCTTGTTCCTAGATATCATCTTGTTTTATTGGAAAGAACTTTCACAGCAAACAACTTTATCTCATTCTTGATTAAAGGTGGGACTATTTCTACTGTTTTGCCACTAAGTACAAGCATACCTTGGAGATATTGTAGGTTTAGTTCAAGATCATCACAATAAAGTTAACCTAGCAATAAAGTGAGTCATAAAAATTTTTTGTTTTTCTGGTACATATGAAAATTGTGTCTATACTGTAGTCTATTAAGTGTACAATAGCCTGTTTTTAAAAAATATATATACCTTATTTAAAAAATACTTTATTGCTGACACAGAGACATGAAGTGAGCACAGCTGGTTTGGAAAAATGGTGCCAATACACTTGCTTATAACAGAGTTGCCACAAATCTTCAATTTGTAAAAAATCCAGTATCTGTAAAGCATAATCATGTAAAGTGCAATAAAATGAGGTATTCTTGTATAATGTTGTGTCTTATCATGTTTAGCAATGTTTTGTAAGAGTTGTGATGGAATGAGTGTTGAATGTAATCAGAAGCCTGTTTAATATTTCATGAGTAGCCATTTTTCTCTTTTGGTCATTTGACCTAATTAGTACATTTCTTAATATTAATTCACCATTATATTCTCTCGATAAATTCCATATTGTATTTTTTGATTATATTAAAAGTATAATAGGATTCAATTTACTCTTTGGTTATTTACGTTTTATCTCTCTATTTAAATGAGATTTTATTTAAAGACAAAAATACAGATAGCAATTCGGTTTCGATATATTTTATTTCTGCTGCCATTATGAGGTTTTTGTATGTGAATTTAGTAATTTTACTACATTAAGTCAATAATGTTACATCTTTTTCTAAATGCTATTCACTAAATCTTTGAAAAAATTGGTCTGTATATAAACATGGAAACCCCAAATTTTAAAAATACATTTCTTTAATTAATTTAATTCCCAATTACTTTAAAGGGTCTCAGATTTCTCCTGGGCCATTTTGATAATTAACATTTTTGGATATTGCTCATTACATTTGTATTTTTAAATTTATTTGCATTTATTAGAAATGGTATTATTTGCTAATTTAAACAAAATTATCTTCTCTTTTTAAATTTTCTTTCTCATGTCAAATTTTATTTTTGTTATGATTAATTCATTTTTCCAGGAGCTTTTCCATTTTTTGTTTGTTTTCAAAATGACCACATTTATTTTGGGAGAAGGGCTTAAAGAATTCTTTTGTGGATACTTGAGGACTTTCTTTAATGAAGAAGGAGTGGGCGTCGAGGGGAAGATGAAAATCCAAGAATAGCATGACCCAAACTCAAGGCGATGAAGACTGTTCTGAGTCAGGAGGGGAAGCTGGCAGTCTTGTTTCTCTGCAGGAACAGGGGCAGTAGATGAAGCATAGCATACCTCATTATGAAACGTGGTCAGGAGCTGGCATTTGTAATGATGATAAATGGTGTGCTACTTTAAAACTTTGAGCAAGATATGGAAGGACCCAAATTACGCAGTTTTTAAGTGATTTTAGGAGAAATTCATGAAAAGGCTTAAAGATTGAGGCAGGAAGGCTTTCCAGGAGGCTATTAAAGTTCTGGACAAAGGGATGAGTAAGAACAAACAGATTAAAGATTTCATGGTTCTAGTGAAAATGTAATGCTCATCTAAGAAGGAGACATTCATTCTGACAAATATAAAAGTTCAATGGGAATGTCTGGGCAGAATATTTGAAGGTGTAACTATCCCCAAATTCTAGGATAAATATTCCTCTTTGGGCCCCTGATATATGAGAAGTCAAAACTAAACAACTTCTCAAGCAGAGCTTTGAGAAGTTCTGTTCAATACAAGCAGTGAAATGACATGCAGAAATCCTGCATCAGAAGCATAGCAGGTTTAAGGAAGAAAAGGCCGCCTTGTAGCTGGTGCTCAAAGGAAGGGGAGAGCCATATGAGATGTGGCTGGACAGTAGATGATACAAGGCCTTGGAGACCGTATTAAGGAATTCACTTTTTATTCTAAAAGCAATGGAAAGTGATTGAAAAATTTTCATCAGAACAATGTATTCAAACTTAAGTATCAAAAAGATCTGTGTTCCTTTAATATAGAGAAAGGACAGGAGGAGGGCCTGAGTGCAGGAATCATGGGGGTGGCTACTGAAGAATGCAGGTGAGAGGTGACAGCAGCCAAGACCAGAGGGATCCCTATGCTAACTGAAAGGGAAAGAAACGACAGATTTCAGAGACATTGAGAAGAAAAACTCAGTAGAATTTGATGTCTAGCTAAAACGGTGTGGTGAAAAGAAAAGGCCATGTCAAAGGAGACTAGTTTTGAGGCTTATAAAAATTGGATGGCTAATGTGACATTCCTCAAGATAAAGAATACATTCTTGAATGCTTATAAAGAGCCAAAGACCCTATTAAATTTTTTTTCATTTAACTTTCCTGGACCTCAGTTGCACAGAACTGTATTGATTTCATAAATTCTCATGGTAAGCACACTGTGCCATTTAAGCCTCACCATTCCATCTCCCTCACCAAGGAAATTCCACCACTGTAAGGTAAGCAACATTATTACCCCCATTATACAGACGAGACACTGCAACGGAGGGACAAAAATGACTTGCTCAGAGTCACACAGTTGGGGATGATGGAGATTTGTCTGACTGCCGGGAATACAGTCTTCACAATTATACTCTTTACTGTTCCTGAATATAATTAAATGCAAGTTAATTGGTCCAGGCTTGACCTCCAAGACAGGTGTCAAGGGGAAGGAAATCAGTAAGAATAACCTGGTCAGCTAGGAGATGGGAATAGGTTAGACTGGGCACAAGGAAAATTACAGACCAAAGACAAGTAAGTAAATAGATATTACTTAATAAAACACATTTGGGTTTTTTTTAAAACTCTAATTTGTAGTCAATTTTTACAGTAATTTTGAAAATCTTTAGAAAGTTTTAAATAAGTACTTCAGAATTCAGGCTTTCAATGATTGATTTCTTTTCTATTTCTTCCCTAAAGTCTCACTTGAAAGGATCTCTTGATGTCAAATATGGTTGTTTGTGTCATACAGAGAAACGAATAACATAAAAACAGGTTCTAATCCTTCTAGCAGATATTTTTCAAAGCTCATTTCACTTACAAATCATGTCTATATACTTACGTATTCATTTCCTTGCTGAATATTCCTTTTCTCCCCTCCTGTTCTCAACCAGAGCCTCGTATTCCCAGGAGTCCTCCCCAGGTGAAACCTCTGAAAGCCTGCTCATCACTGCCACAATTACCCCACAAATAAGGAGAGATGTAGGGCCATTTCCCCATCATTTTTCCCCTTAGGAGGAAACCAAGTCCTATCTGTACTGGTTCAGTCCTCCCTAGTCTGAGGTGGGGCACAGCAAGGCAATCATACATTCTCATCAAGGCTCAAGCACAATCGTGCTCTGGGGAATTTGTGTATAATCTAATTTATGTGGAGCCACTTCCAAGGGAGATCATGGAACTTCTGGTTTAATTGGGGTGATCTGGAACACTCAGCATCTGTCAGTGAGTAAAGAGATGATGGTGCATAAATAGAAATAGAAATTGCTCTGCACTCTCTCCTTAGCCTATGTACGTTTTCTCTGAAGCTCCCAGCTGTGATATTTCTTACTGATTTCCTACTCTTCTTGTTCTACCTTTTAATCTTTCTGGAATTCTCTTCTATTCTTTAACAAACAAGTTTATGTGGGGAGGGGTGAACTCCTTCCTGGAAGAGAGTGGGAGTCATCCCATACCCACCTAAGCGTCTCCACCCTCTCCGACAAAAGCCCCTGTGGGATTAGATGGATGGCAACAGGCTTGGGTGACATGGAGCTGTTGCCCTCGCCAACTAAAAAGCAGCTTTAATTATGTCTGTAACTCGAATTAACTAATTCAGAGCATATTTATTGAATGTTAACCACATGCTAGGCACTCTTCCAGGCACTGAGGATATAGCAGAGAGTAACCTTCCAGTGAGGAAATCATAAAAGCAGAATTAAAAAGTAAAACATATAGTATGTTCTTTGGTGATAAGTGCTATATAGAAAAATAAAGGATGAAAGGAGGAAGAGAATAATGGAATGGTAAGGTCAATTCTTTTTTTGTTGTTTGTTTGATAGGCCTTTTATTAAGAGTGTTTGCAACATGTCTCCTATGCCGTGGGTGTCAGTCAGTGTCACAATGCAAGCTTTGTTCTGAAAAAGAATCTCATAGATTTTATAGGCTCTAGAAGGAGAGTGACATTCCAATTTTCTCCCAATTCTATTGGAAGGTCAATCTTAAATGCTGTATAGGAGGATCTCATTGAGAAGATATCATTTGAGCAAAGATGTAAAGCAAGGGAGGGAATGAGTCAGTGGCTACATAGCGAGAGTGTCCTAGGCAGAGGAAACAGCTTCTACAAAAGCCCTGAAGCAAGAGAATGTTTGAAGTGTTCAAGAATAAACAGGAGATGCAGAATGAATGGAATTGAGAGTGAGTGAGGCAGTCGGATACAAGGTGTGTGAGGTGAGGGGGTGGGGTGCAGATAATAGAGGGCCTCTTGTTATTGAGCAAAAGGAGCTTGCTGCCATATGCACTAGAAGCCAATGCTATGACACCGGGTTTTGAGAAAATAAACACTGTGTATTGAAAGTCAACTCTCAAGGAGATAGGAGCCAAGCTCAAATCTCCCTATGCTGGCTTCAAGGCAGTATATTTTAACTAGAAAAGGTTCAGGGAGTGGATTTTGAGATTAGTAAGTGACTGGTGGAAGGAAAGGAGAGCTCTGGAAAGGCCTTGGGCACGTGCAGTTATCTCCTCATGCTACTTCTGGGTTGCATGTGCAAATTCAGGGGGAGTTAGTAGAAAACGTGGTGTAAATTTGGGCTGTGACATCAGCAAGCTCGCTCTGCACAGACTCCAGTAGGCCACATTGGTTCCAAAGGATTTCAGCCAGTTTTTTTAATCTCATAAGCAGAGGGAGATTCAGTGTTTCAGCAAGTTGGTTTTTTTTTTTCCTTTTCTTTTTTTATTTTTTTTTGTTTTGTTTTGTTTATCTTTTGAGATGGAGTCTTGCTCTGTCACCCAGGCTGGTGAGCAGTGGCATGATCTCAGCTCACTGAAACCTCTGCCTCCCAGGCTCCAGTGATTCTCCTGCCTCAGCCTCCCGAGTAGCTGGGATTACTGGTGCCCGCTACCATGCCTGGCTACTTTTTTTTGTATTTTTAGTAGAGATGGGGTTTCATCATGTTGGCCAGGCTGCTCTTGAAATCCTGACCCTGTTTTTTTTGTTGTTGTTTTTGTTTGTTTGTTTGTTTTTGGGTTTTTTTTTTGGTTTTGTTTTTCTTATCAGTCATCCTGCAAACTCAGGAATTTCTGTTACTCATTGGTTTATTTAACTCTTTAGGGCATGGTTTCACTCTGGAGCCACTGTAAGAACTTTTTTGGCTTTTACTCTGAGTGAGATGGGAACCATTGCATATTTGAGTACAGATGTGATATAATTTGACTTATGTTTGAACAGAGCTAATATAAACTAAGAGTATTCTCAAGGTCAACTGGGCATATTTATTCATATTAAAGAGTTTTAGAACATTCTTTCTACTAGATACTGTCTGGAAGACAACATTGTTTAGGAAATTATCCACTTTTTCAGGGAGTTGGCAATCTCTTAGAAATGATGAGCCAAATATTTGGAAAGCAGTTAGTGCTTCAGACAGATGAAAAATTATGATTGTAGGTAAAGGACTTTGAACAATTAAGAAGAACATTAATAGGAATCTTCCAGAATAGTTTCATAGAGAGGAAGGGACAGAAACAAAGAAATGAAAAACTGAGGGAGAAGTTTTGAAGGATTAGGCAAATATTGTTATTTTAATGATATGTCCACAAATTCTCTGATATCCCTCCCTTTGAAAAGTGAATCTTGGCTTATAATCAAAAGACAGGCAATAAAAAATGCTGGTGAGGATGTGGAGAAAAAGGAACCCTTACACTGTTGGTGGAAATGTAAATTAGTACAACCACTATGGAAGTCAGTTTGGAGGGTCCTCAACAAACTAAAAATTGAGCTACCATATGATCCAGCAACCCCTTTGCTGAATATATATGCAAAAGAAAGGACATCAGTATATTGAAAATATATCTATACTCCTATGTTTATTGCAGCACTGTTTACAATAGCTAAGATTTAGAAGCAACCTAAGTATCCATCAACAGATGAATGGATAAAGAAAATGTGGTACATACACAAAATAGAGTTAGGGTACTATTCAGCCATAAAAAAAGAATAAGATCCAGTCATTTGCAACAACATGGTTGAACTGGTTAAATGAAATAAGGCAGGCACAGAAAGACAAACATCACATGTTCTCACTTATTTGTGGGATCTAAAAATCAAAACAATTGAACTTATGGAAATAGAGAGTAGAAGGATGGTTGCCATAGGCTGGGAAAGGCAGTGAGGGAGCTGAGGGGAGGTAGGGATGGCTAACAGGCACACACACACACACACATAAAAATAGAAAGAGTGAATAAGATGTACTACTTGATAGCACAATATGGTGACTATAGTCAATAATAACATAATTGTATATTTTAAAGTAACTTAAACAGTATAATTGGATTGTTTGTAACTCAAAGGATAAATGCTTGAGGGGATGGATATCCCATTCTCCATGATGTGCTTATTTCACACTGAAATAAGGAATCTTGGAGGCCTGTATCAAACAATCTCATTACGCCATAAATATATACACCTACTATGTACCCACAAAAAAAAAAGTTTCTAAAAAGTGATTCTTAATCCACTTATTGAATATAGACTGGACTTAATGATTCACTTTTAGCAAACAGAATATAGATGACGTGATGGAGGAAAAATCTGAGACTGGGTTATAAAAAGACTGCAGCTGCTGGCTTGGGTGCACTTTCTGACTTGCCTATACTCTGTCTTTCTCTCTCTCTCTCTCTTCCCCACTCTTCCTCTTATCACTCATTCTGAGGAAAGCCATTTCTTGATCTTTTTCATAGAGAGACTAATATGGGGCAGCACTGAAGACTGCTGACAGCAGCCACATGAGTGAGCTCAGAGTGGACACAACAGCCCCTTCAGAGGCTGCAGGGATGGCAGACAGCCTGACTGCAATGTCGTGAAAGATGCTGAGGCAGAACCATGCAGCAAAGTCATTCCCAGATTCCTGACTCTCAGAAAATGTGTGAGATAATAAATGCTATTATTTTAAGCTGCTAAATTTTGGGGCAATTTACTACTTAGCAGTAGATGCCTAACACAAGGTATATTCATGAATAGAATGAACGTAGATAAAAACTGAAAGAATATTAACTTGAGAGAAGAAGAGGCGATTTGATATGTTTACTTTTTTGTTGTTGTTTGTTTGTTTTGTTTTTTGGAGACTAGGTCTGGCTCTATGGGCTGGAGTGCAGTGGCACAATCTGGGCTCAATGCAACCTCTGCCTCCCAGGCTCAAGTGATACTCCTGACTCAGCCTCCCAAGTAGCCTGGACTACGGGCACATACCACCACATCTGGCTAATTCTTGTATTTTTAGTAGAGACAGGGTTTTGCCATGTTGGCCAGGCTGGTCTTCAGCTGGCCTCAAGTGATCCGCCCGCCTCAGCCTCCCAAAGTGCTGGGATTACAGGCATGAGCCACCACTCCTGGCATGTTTGCAGTTTCAAATATGGAAGACTTTATGCTAGTCATTAATTTTTCTGAATTGCAAGTAACAAATATGCATGAAGTGCCCAAAATATCTTAGGCACTGTTGCATCAGTTACGCAGGTGAATTATGAAGTCTTTCAAAGTTCTCTATAAGCTGAACTCTGTATCCCCACGCATTAAAGTATGAGTGTCTATCACAGAAATTGAATGTAGTAAATTCTAAGGGCAGGGACAACATTTGCATCATAGATTTGCCCTTCATAGCAAAATTGTCTCTCTCTTTTGCCAAATATAGGAATTAAACTTAATTTCCTGTCCCTTAAAAAATAATATTTGTGATTTAAAAGTAAAGACTACTCTAGAATGTTATGTAAAGTTGTATCCTTTAACTGAGTAAATAGCTGTATTACAACTGAGATAGCACTTTGTAAGTTTCCTTTTCTTCTTTGTTTAGATTAATAATATTTATCATAAAATGATATATACACCTTTTAAAGAAGTTAAGCACAGTTCAGATAAGAATTTTAAGATTTACACTTAATGTATCATCCAGTAACTATCATTTTTAACATTAGGTAAACTTCATTTCAGACACAGAGAGAAGAGTGAATGGAAAGATGGGTGAGGGATAGATATATAGATAAATTAATGCAGAAATAATTTTACAAAAATCGTATCATACCATAATATGTTGCTTTTTCATTTGTATTCTAAAATGAGCTTAAAAAAGATATAGGAAAAACTGCTGGATTTTATATAAATATTCTTAAGATAGGAAATATTGTTTCTAAAAAGATAAAATAAATTTAAGAAAGAAATAATTAGAGGAATATTAAGAAGTTGGAGTCATAATGGTTCTTTTTTAACTAAATGTGTCAAATTTAGTCAATAGTGATTGATTGCTTGTTCTGAAAAATGAGGAAATTAGCACTCCCACCCACACACCTATCCTGCCCCATCTCCAGATTTTATTATGTTATTTTAATAACATCAAGTTATATATCATTTGCCTTCTGTTCTGAAATATTTGCCAGTTTTCTCTTAGTTTTGTATTAGTATGGATTTAGCATTCATACCAATACCCTCACCATAACTCTCCCATTTCTAAGTTTAAAAAAATTTATATTTCAATTGGCTCTATTTCATCAACTACATTTTACAAAATAATAATATAGTCCTCAAGTTCCTGCATGTTTAGGGATATCTGCCTAGTCCTTTCATACATAAACAACCACTTGAAATTTATAAAAATCATAAATCACTTTTCTTTCTTAGAATCTCATAGATTTTTTTTCTTTCTTTTCTCTTTCTCTTTCTTTCTTTCTTTTTTCTCTTTCTTTGTATTTAGTGTTACTTTAGAGAAGTCTGAACTTGCCCTTTTTTTCATCTTTATGCCTGAGGAAATTTTTCTTTATCATCAAAGAACTCTGAGAATTGATGGGCACTGTGTTAGAGCAAGTGGGAAGTATAGACACAGCTTCCCATGTTAAGCACGAGCAAGAAGAAAATAATTTGAATGGAAACTATTCAAATATATCACAGTGATCAAAGATTTAAAAGTGGATGAAAAGAGACAGCTCAAGAACCCAATTCAGAAGACAGCATAGCTCAAGGAGTAAGCGGTGAAGTGAGCTACATCTACAAATACTTTTGTTGTTGTTCTTTCCTGTGTTCTATCATTTGGGCAGTTTTGCTCTATTACAGTCACATGACTCTAAAAGCAGGACATGGTTGAGAGACAAAACATTTAAGTCTAATATTTTTGCCACTATGTTTGTAGGTGTTCCAAGGTTTGGGGAAGATAAAGCTCAGGTTAAAGATTAGATTAAGTGGCAGGGCTCTGGGGACATTTCATATCATGCCCTGAAAAACATACATACCATGCTTCTAGAGGCCCTGCTTTACTATGCTAGACAAAATACAGACCATCCCCCTGCAAAGAGGGCCACACCAGGCTAGATTTATTCAGAAGCAAAGTGAACACAGTGTGTGAACTGATAGCCTAGCCAGAGCTTTCTCCTCTGGTGGGCTCTGCTGATGAAGCCTGTGTTATCAGTCTTGGGGTGACAGCTAGTCACCTAGTGACTAGTGACATAGCTAGTCACAGTGCTATGTCACCATTGCTTGTGACCAGCATCTGTTGAGATAGGCCAGTGCCCACATTATTCTAATTATTAAGTATTTTAGATAGCTCCTTGTGTTAATTTTCCATTGTTGTATAACAAATTAGCACAAACTTAACAGTTTGAAATAGTACCCAATATGTCTATAGGTGAAATTTGGGTGGGCTTAAATAGGTTCTCTGCTCAGAGTCTCATAAGGTTTAAATCAAGGTATCAGCCAGATTCAGCTCTCATTTGGAGCTCTGGGTTCTCTGCCAAGCTTATTCAGATTGTTAGCAGAATTCAGTCCCTTGTGGTGTAGGACTGTGGTTTCCATTTTCTTGCTGACCATCTGATGGGAGTTGCTCTCAGCTCCTAGAGGTCACCTTCAGGTCCTACCCATGTGGACCTCCCACAACATGGCAGCTTCTTTCTTCAAAGCCAGTAGGAGACTCTCTAGTCAGAATATATCTCTATCTCTAGTAAGAAGACTATATAGATAATTTCTACGTAGTCTACAAGGTAATATAATCACAGGAATGACTATCTTATCACATTCACAGCTCCCATCCACACTCAAGGGAAGATGGTTGTACAAGGCACATACAACAGTGAAAAGGAATCTTGGAGGACATCTTAGAATTCTACCTACCACACCCTCTACTATATTGCTTGCTTTGATTCCTTGCCTGCCTAAACATTTAGGATCATCCAAACCACTCATGTTTAGATGAACTTCTATCTCTGATCCCTTCCTAGCTAGCTCTGTTCTGTAGGATGGCCACTCACAGGCATGACAATATTTACTTGGTACATATTTTGAAGAAACATCAATACAAATGTGCTTAAAAATTGTATAGAATACTTTGGGGAAACACAAAAGAAGCTAAGCTGATAATACAAAAGTGAGTATCACTTTATACCGTCTATGATGGCTATAACTTTTTTAATGGGAATTAAATGTTGGCCAGGATGTGGAGAATATGGGAACCATGTACCCTGCTGGTGGGAATGTAAAATGTTTCAGCCACTATGGAAAACAGTTTGACAGTTTCTCAAATTACCATAGATTTAGCATAGATCTAGCAATTCTACTTCTAGGTACATATTCAGAAGAACTGAAAACTGATACTCAAACAAATACATATATACTCATATTCATAGCAGCACTATTCAAAATGACCAGAAAGTGAAAACAACCCAAATGTTCATCAATGGACAAATAGATAAACAAATTGTGGCATATACATAGAATAGAATACTATTCATTTATAAGAAATGAAATACCGATACATGCTACAACATGGATGAACCTCAAAAATATTTGAAGTAAAAAGAGCCAGTCATGAAAGACCACACATTGTAGAATTTCATGTATATGAAATATCTCGAATAGGCAAATTCATAGAAACAGAAAGCAGATTGGTGGTTACCAGAGAACAGAGGGAGAAGAATATGGGAAGCAACTGCTTAATGAATACAAGATTTCTTTTGTGGGCGCTGAAAATGTTTTGACACTAGATAGATGTGGTGGTTGCAAAACATTGTGAATGTACTAAATATCACTAAATTGTTACTTTAAGATGGTCAATTTTATGTTATCTGTTTTGTAACACATAACACTGTCTTCTCCACGATGAACACTAAGAGAAATTCTGATAAGCATTTAGGCCTATATTGTTGCAAAACATAGCACATTTTTATACCCCTTTTTCTTAGCATAAACATGATTCAGCACATGCAAAGTCCAAAAAGAACCGAGATTAAGAGAATCATAGAAGTTCCAGTATGAGTCTAAAAAATATACTCACAAATAGAATGAAAATAGAAATAAAGAGCAATTAAAATCAGAGCAATGACAATCAATGATACCTAAGCATGGCATTTCTGTTTCTCTCATAACATACCCGGCCTTCTGTAAGGTAATATGCAAATGGAGATGATCAGATCAGTGCTTACTGAAATTTATACTATTCTAATGATACTTTCTAATAGGAAAAAATAAAATTATGTTGGCCAGATGTACTTTAAAAATTTATATTGGTTTTTAACCCTCTTTATATATTAATTATGGACTTTTCTAAATTAGTTGAGAAATAAGCATTTTAAAATATCAACATAGAAGTGATGCTTATCCACTAACAGTCCTGTTTTGGCAGTGTCATGTCTATGTCTACACAATAAAGTTTGGAAAAAACTGCAATGACATATTCTAATACTTGTACTCTATTCTACAAAAATCTAGGGTTTCTTGGGAGCCATCATTAAGGTGAAGAACAGAGAAGGCATCCTAGCACCAGAGTTCCAGGCAGCCCCAACCCATACTCACCCATACAGCAGCTCCCCTTTGTATCTGTCTTACATAGTATGCTTCCTGATGTTACCTGAAAAGGGGTTTAAAAATGTGCAATTTACAAAAATGCATGGAAAATATGAAATACACATATTGAATCTTTTTTCAATACACATATTGAATCTTTATTCAAAAATACACGTAATCTTTATTCTCATAAAATTAATTAAAATACTGAGACAAATATATAAATCATAAGATATGTTGAAAGCAGTGTCTCTTTAATATCAATTGGATGCTTATTAGATTAAATATCATCAGTGGAGAGTAAAGCCAATGAAAGAAGAAAAGTGTGTGGGTTTTTTATACAAAATGCTGAAAATATTTCAATGAAAATTATGCCTAGAAGACAAGGTAAAATTAACAATTTTATAATATTTTGCAACCCTCTGAGAACCAAAGATCAACCATGAAATATGCAGTACTTCTGCTCATCAGATCTCTAAACACA
Source organism: Homo sapiens (assembly GCF_000001405.40). Lineage (NCBI taxonomy): Eukaryota > Metazoa > Chordata > Mammalia > Primates > Hominidae > Homo > Homo sapiens. Next base: position 118,497,098 of record NC_000003.12, read on the forward strand.
TTCTCAGAAATATACTATGCACACACCAAAGGACTGGCTTTATGTTTCTCAGTCAGAAGGAGAGAAACTATAGTCACTTGATCCTGCCTCAGTTATGTAGCTTTCATAATTGACACTACTATCCCGTATCAGCTCTGCTAATGATAAGCCTGAAAGAATTTTTCCACATATGTGGGCCTTGCAAACTCAGCCCCAAAATGCCTCTAATATCTTGGGCTGTTACTTAAATTTTGACATTTATGTGTCCTATTTCTTCAGTTAAGCTAGAGTATCTTTTAAAACAGGGACTATAGCCTATGTGTCTGGGTCTTTCCCACAGCGATAGCACATGCCTGATTCTGAATGAATGACCATGAAACATCAGTGTGATAATGTGCTGATGTCAGTGATCCTGATCACAATAGCCATCATAATGGAAAGTGCAAACACCCAGGACTCTTAGTACCAACTCGAATAGGGACAAAATGCTGAATATGTATGTATGAATGCTCAACCTGACATCAGCAGGAAACCCACAAACTTAAGCAAAAAATAAATCTTTCCGAAAGAACAAACATGTGATGCTACAAGGATTAAAAACTTTATCCCTAAAAGTCCCAAAGCAGTCACAAATAATACAATAGACCAAGTACTGAAAGGGCAATTTGCTTCTGAGAGTAAAGATTTAGAACTGGAGAGGAGCTCTGGCCAGATTTAAATAATGGCAGAAGGATCAAAAATAAGAGATGGTAGAGGATCAATTGACCGGCCTGTGTGTTGATCCCTAAAGCAGAGTGACACAGATGCCAACACCTGCATTTGAGTCCATTTATTTTGAAAAGCACATTCAGTTCAAGCTTCCGTGTTTTCAAGGTTATTCTGAAAAGTGTATATATAAGGTTATCAGGTATGCAGTTTTTAAATATGGAACATGGCCTAACTAGATGGGGTAGAGGGTTTGGTCTTCATTAATATTTGATTTCTAGTAGGTTAAAATATGGGGCTGTTACATATTTAACTATGGTTGATCACTGAATTACAAAATGTAAATGTGTTCAAGTATGTATTTTTATTTAGCAACCCATTTTGAAACAAATTGCTCTTTAAGAAATTGTAAGTCAAACACAAATTTATATTTATTATTATATGACAAACTTTACAAAACATTTCTTCAGATATTTTCATGAAACATCTAAATATGGAATCCAAGAAAATAATTAAAGAGACCTGCATGTTAAGCCAATACCAGATTAGAATAGTGATAAAAATACTTAATACTTTTAATTCTTTTACTATAGGCTGAAACAATGCTAGCAAATGAATTATTTTATATAATTATCACGATAATACAATGAGGTTCATATTTACTATCTACATGTTACAGATAAGGTATGTAGGTTTAAAGTGGTTTAAAGTAGCTTTCTAATCATCAGCCAATTAGAAAAGGAATCTGAATTTAGACTTAGGCTTTCTAATTTCAGAACTCACACCCTTCAACACTGGTCCACCCTGGAAGTTGGAAAGAAATATCTTCACTGACATGAGAACAACATATTTGCCTAATGTTTGTCATTTTTATTTTAAAAAACACATTTCCTTCATGTGCAATTTTAAATTATAATTGGATGTATAATATCTCGAGACCCTGGCTTTTTCTTTAAGCACAATTTCTCCTTTTTTATTACATAAAAAGTAATGAGAAAAATAGATATTCATTCGACAAAAGAATGTTCAAGCCTAGTTACTTAATGAGCCTTTATTTGCATTTGGACCCTAAAATTATCCCATCCCTTCACTCCATGTATCCTGTATTTCTGATTTTCCTCTAAGAACCAGGACTCAATTCCTGCTCCATGACTACATTTGGAACTTCACTGCTGAGTTTCCGGTTCTGCTAGAGCTTCCAAGAATGGTGGGCTAAAGTCCCTTTCCTCGATAATCTCATTTCTCATGGTTTTCTACTTAAAGCAATACTGTCTATGAAGTGCAACCTGGCTCTTCCTTCTCCCGTAATCATTGCCTCTCTGGATTTTCCTTCTTCCAAGACTCCCTTTCCTGATTCCCTTTAACACCCCTTTCATAATTCACATCCAGAGAGTTCTCTGCAATCACCTACCCATCCCAATCTCCATTATTTATTTCATGTTATTACCTTTCACAATTCATATAGTAAATGTTACTTAGAACAGAGGCTGCTCTAGTGTTTCATTGATTTGTCTCATTTTATTTCTGGTCATTGAATGGCACAGTGATATCACATGAGGTTGGACAGAGTTATTTTCCATCGCCATCATAAAGCTTTATGACTATAAGTGGGTTTGTCTTTTACCAGTTCACTGTCTTCCTCTAAAGATGGTCTCTCCTATCTCTTGCGTAGGACGCACTAATCACTAATGTCCCACAGAAGGATATCCTGAGCTGTCCTTGGAGCCATTTGGCATGGAACCTTACAGAGTGCCCCTACCCTCTGTGCCTGGCTTCCATCCTCCTGACTCTTTGTGACTTTCAGATCTTAAAACTAAAATCAGGTGCAACACTTAACCTCCAGAGGAATAATCTGTGGCTCTTACACGGAGATGATTGATAAACACTTTCCCCTCTCTTTTCTTATGTTTGTTTTCTTAATTAGATTTATTGTTTTTCTATTCTCTCCTCTCCCTCAAGGTACATGTGCACACGTATCCACTCCCGCAATGTGGCAAAGGCTTGGAAAGGTACCCTTCCCCAGCCTTCCTCCCCAGACTCTAACCTCTTTGAAATGGGCAGGAAGGAGAAGTTCTCTTTGATGTTCATTTGAATGTGCTTATATCTTGATTCCTCTGTGCGTTTACATCTTTTATTCATGTGCACTTTAAATACCCCCATTAAATTAAATAATCATTGAGATAGGAACAGTGTCTATGATTTCTGTTGGAGCTTCCTTCTATTTCCCAAGATGCGGCTCTCTGCACACTGAACTCTCCTGACTTTCTTCACCCAGCTGACTTGAAAATCAGATGAAATGGTGAGCCTCACCTCCAGACTGTGCATACAACTAAATGTAATGCTATGGTTCAAACAACAAGCATCCTCTTTGGAAGAAGAAATACTTTGAGGGCTGGGAGCGGTGTCTCATACCTGTAATCTGAACACTTTGGGAGGCCAAGGTGGGTGGATCACCTGAGATCAGGAGTTGGAGACCAGCCTGGCCAACATGGTGAAACCCCATCTCTACTAAAAATATAAAAAATTAGCCGGGCATGGTGATGTGCACCTGCAGTCCCAGCTACTCAGGAGGCTGAGGCAGGAGAATCGCTTGAGTCCGGGAGGCAGAGGTTGCAGTGAGCCAAGATCGTGCCACTGCACTCCGGCCTGGGTAACAGAGCAAAACTCCGTCTCAAAAAAAAAAGGAAATAATTTGAGCTAGTGCGTTTTCTCAGATTTAAGTGCCTTAAACTGTCACCTACCTCAAACACAACTCTTTTCTAGTAATTTTTTTAAAATTCACCCATAGAATCATGCTCAGAAATGCTGGCAGACAGTGGGGAAATCTAGACTGTAATCCTGCTTCTACCCCTTCCTAGCCCTATATCCTTGAGCAGGTTATTCCACATCTCTGAGCCCCAGTTCCCTCAGGAGTTAAATAAGATAATGTAAGCCAGTGCGTGGCCCATGCTAGGCTCTCAAAACATGTTAGCTATTTTTATAATTTATGTATACCAAAGTTTATGGATCCTTTTGTCACTCTCCAATGCCCTAAATATAGTTAAGAAATCTTCCCAACAGTTGCTTTATGATTATAGGGCTCTTGTTCCAAACAATCTAGAAATCTGCAAAGAAACTCATGAGTAGAATATGGTCATGTTTACATATTAAGCAGCCTTTTTGGCAATTCAGCAATAAAAAAAAAAGTGCTCTAAAAAGGGGAAGGGAAATATGAAAAGAAAAAAATCCTTTTGAAATAACGATTTCATCTTTTGTTCCGGCCTGTCTTGGGGTAAAGAAATGCCAATTTAGAAAGTCCCTGGAGCTAAGCAAATTCTCTACCATCAGCTCCTGGGCTGCATCAGCAAAGCGAGGTCTGCTTTCAGGAAATGTGAGCCCAAGAGTCTTCCTGAAGCATTCTCCACACTGATGCCACTGCCTTGCTGTACTTCTGAAGGCCACAGAGGGCAGTGGGACAACTGCCAGGCCCTCCCCTACTTGGCATAAAACTCAGGCAGGCTCTTGGCCTGATGAGGCAGCCCTCTCTACTTCCCTTGTTCCCTGCCTCCCTCACTCCCTCCTGGATATTAAACTCACTGTGGTTTCATCCACTTTATCATCTCATTTGCTTTCTGATCTGATCCCAGGCTGCCATGTGGCTGATCAAAGGCAGATGTGAGCTCTCAGCTTCACAAAGGAGCCCCTGTATTCAAACAAACATGTTAATTTATTGTCTCCTTGCTGGCAGCTCCCTTCCCTTGCTCTCTCCTACGTTTCCCAATATATTCATTCGCTTTCCATGCCCCCTCCTGCTATTTACTCTTTCTTTCTCCTCTCTTGTTGTGACCTTTTCATTTTCATTTCTCTTTAAAATCTCTCCGTTTTCTCACTCATATTCTATTGTAGGTTAAAACGATAAAATTGCTTTTACTGCCATTTCATCATCCTCATACCTGAAAAAAAAATTATACCAACATTTTTTTAAACCTCATAGAAGTTATTTTCAGCAGCCAAATTTGTTTGTAATAGTGGCATATGTTATCAAGTTCCAGTTTTGTTTTCTTCTCCTGTCTGCCCCTCTCATTCGATATTTCCCACCTCCCCCTTCTCTCTGTCTCCTTGCCTCCTTTCAGGGTTGCCTTTCTCTTTGCCCTTTCCTTTCCTCATCTCTCTCTTTCCTTTTTATGTCCCTCCCCTCTGAGACAGTCACCCCTTTGCATTCTCTCCAACCCCTACCATGCTGCTGCTTTCCTCTCTGCTGACTTTTTGCTGAGGTGCTACTTTCAAGGTTTTAAAATTCAGTAAATCCTTGATAGTTTGCCCTAATTTGGAGAGAAGGTCAATCAGAAGTAATAAGCCCAAGAAACAGAATATTTTACAGAAATCTGCCAGTTGAAGGATATTAAGTGAACACAATATGATTATTGACAGAAAATAAGGAAAGCTATTCACAGAACTACCAATAACAACTTACTAAGTTCTCAGGGCTGTGGGTGATTCACAGATGAACAGGCTTGATCCCTGCTCTCAAGGAGAGTAAATTATAGTACAGATAATACAGCACACTTGTGTATTACCTTAATAAAGGCACAGTGTGTGAGAAGCCGCTTCATTTGACAAACATTAATCCCATAAACTGTAGTTAGAGCTGTAGAACACTCAAATGTAAATCTGACATCAACTTCACCCTCAGGACACATAGATTCTAATAGAGGATCAATTTATACATAAATAATTACTATGCAAATCAAAAAACACAACAAACAAATAAAATCCATATAGTAAAGGTCAAGAGAAAATCCAGGGGAACATAATTAATTTAAGCAGGAATATAGGGATGCTGTCATGACAGAGATGTCATTTCACCTGGACCTTGACAGATGGTTTGGATTTGGTAGTTAGTAAAAGGTAAAAGCCCTACAAGGGCCAGATAAACTTAATGCCAGGTTCTGTTCATTATGAGAGAATTGGGATCCCCTGTCTGAGGAGTCCGAGGCTGAGTCCAGGCCTGCTGGGGTACTGTGCTGTGATGCTGTGACTGATTAGCAGTCTCTCCCTTGGACCCAAGTGGGACAGTAGAATCGTGCATGTCCCACTTGTGACTTCTTGTGCTAGGGAGAAAGCTCTGCACGCATGAGCACAGGTTCAGAGGTAGGAAAGTGATGGGGACATTAAGGGGGCAGAAGAGTGGCTAGTGTGGCTGTTGAGCAGGTTGTGAAAGGAGGCAACCAAGGTGAGACTAGAAAGATCAGCAGGTGCCATATTGTGGAGGCCTTTGAACATCATGTATAGGAGTCAAATATTCAAGATTTTTAAGCAGGGGAAGATAGAACCAACTTTGTGCCAAATCTATTGAAGAGGGAATATATTGGATGAAGAAAGACCAACTAGGAAGCTACTGCAATCCCTCAGCAAGTGACGATAGAGACTTCTTTTAATAAGTATGATGGCAGTGGAAAGAAGGGATTTGATTCAAGCAATATATCTATGGTAGAATCTCTTGAGGAAGAAGACGAGGAATTGGAAATGAGACAGATTGGCTAGGATAATGATGATACCAGTAACCAAGGGTGGGAGACGACAAAGGATGACTGTTTAAGAGAGAAATGAATATAATTGATTTTATTCATATTCAGTTTTGGATATTGGTGAATATAGCAGCAATAGTGGGGAGAAAGCATAGAAGATGAGAGATCATTTGAATACATTTTGGGGCAAAATTGCATAAGCCCAGGAGCTGAAAGCCCATTACTTCCTTGCAAGTATTTATTAAGCACCTACTAACTATATGCCAATGAGATGAAGCATGACCCTAAATAATAGGATATTGATTTTAAAATTTCAGCAGCCAAAAAAGCAAGAGGTGTATCTTGAGTTGAGCCTGAAAAGTTGACAAATACCTACCATGGGTAAATTGATTTCACCAGAATTGAAACCACCTTAATGTGTCCTAGACTTTGTGAAAGAAAAAACTAACTGGGGAGAGAGTGAAGAGAAAAAGGCCCTGGAAGCCACAAACGTTTTATAGAATCCAGCAGTTCATTAACAAATAGATAAGAATCAGTTGTGCTTAGCAAATATATTATTTAAATGCAAATGATGCTGCTAATTGTCTTCACTCTTAAGTAGGCTAAAGAGGAGGTATCTCATGCTGAAGAGAGCAAGGAACCAGGGAGACCTGGTTTTCTAATTCCTCTGCTACATGGTAATAATAGTCCTTGGGTAAGTTACTTTATATCTCTGTGTTCCAGTTTCCTTCTCTATAAAACAAGGAGAATAATATTCCCTTCATGGTGTTATTGTAAGGATTAAATAAAATTAATGTGCATCAAGTGCCTGAAACAATACACTTATTATCATATTTTTTATTTTTGTTAGTCTAACACCTCTTTCCCTGCTTTGGGTCAAGCTCTGTTACTAAGTATCTAAATGAGTAAACTATTTGCACATCCTAGCAAATTGTCTCTAGTAACAGAGCTTTGTTGGTCTGATTACAATACATTCTCTGCAGTGCTAGTCCCTGACCCTGTCCACCTAGCAGTAATTCTCCACTACAAATGCATGCTTATACAGTTTTCATTAGAGGAATAGATGGGAACAGTTGAACTGAGAGGCAGAGCAGAATGGTTCTTTGTTTTTACATCAAATAGCAATTGTCCATCAAATCTCACCCTGCTCTACCTCAGAAAATCAAATCAACCTCCCACAGAAGTATTTCTAAATCCTTTTATGTAACCATTATCCCTCATCCCCAACCCCCACTTTCACCAACCAAATTTACCCCTAACATACAATATTGTTGATATCAGCATGCAAGCATCCTAGCATCCATGTTGCCTCCTCTTCCTCCTGGTCACGTCCAAAAGGTCCTGTCTCTTGAATCAGGTTTCTTCTCACTATTCTCATTCTGTTGCCCTGTTCAAGACCCTCTACCTCTAACTGGTTTCCAGTCTTTTCTCTATTCCAATCTGCCCATCACACTGTAAGAGATGTAAAGATGGCATTCTGTCACTTGCTAACTTCCATTAGCTCTGTCAATTGCCCACAGGATAAAATCTACACTTTCTAGTTGAGCAGCATGTCTCTTTATATTCCCAATCTAGCTGTTCAGCCCATCCTTTGTTCCTGTTTCCCAAATATGCAATATCATTTACTAATTCAAGTAATTGCACATATTGTTCCTTTCACATATAATACCCTTCCACAACTTGTTTGCCAGGCAAACTCCTACTCATCCCTTGTCCTTTAAAATTCAGCTTAAATGTAATTATTAGTAACAGGATGATATTGAGGATAGGTTCCTGAACCCTAGAGTTCTGCCCTTATTAGTCACCTATTACTTTGCACGGTTGCTAAGGGAACTATTACTACATACATTAAGGCCAAGCAAAAGAACAGTTTATAACTTGGTTTTGAGTTTGAACCCCAAGCTGAAGCCCTGTGTTGGCTAACTTGAGAAGGACTGCCTTGAACTCAATTATTTCCCCTGGACACAGTAATGGACTTTTTGGTGAGACTTCATTCTAATTTCTAAATGTCTTTCTAAAAGTCCAAGAGAAAAGGAAGAGTGAGAATTGGGGTAAAAGATCACTTTTCTTAAGCAGGAAGGCCACAGGCCCTGACTTGTCTCCACGACCTATGGAAGAAGAGAAATAGGGCTATTTAACTTACTAAAAGTTTAATTTTTTTATACTGGAAACCAAAGCTCCATCCTCTAGAAAACCTGTTCTAATAAATATACCTGAACATAATTAATCTATACCAGTTCTCCTTCTTCTTGGGATCAAGTGATATGCCAAGAAGATACCAAATAATAACTCCCCCTGAAATTTTTTCCTCTCTCCATTCCCCACCTGCACCTTCTGCTCGATAAGAATTACTTGTTCCTTCATATGTGTTCTCTTAATAATTTGTTCATCCCTCTCAGTACTAAGTACTTACCAATTTTCTGTAATTATTTATTTAATATCTATTTTTCCCACTTAATTTATTATTTTTAAGAAGGTAGAGTTTGTGTTTATCTTGTAGCCCTATTATATGTCCAATGCTTAACATAGGAAGACCACTAGCACATATGATGTTGTTATGCCACTTCCTCAGGGTGAACTTGGCCTGGGCTTGGTGGGCAGAGTGTGGACCACATTTTACCTCTCCTAGTCCTATGGTCTGGACACCTAGTGCGGGAAACAACTTGGATAACTGTATCCAGCAATCCTAGTGGAGCACATAAGAGGAATTTTAAGTATTTTTTGAATGAGTGAATAGAGCATAAAGGAATTTGCTTTGGAATGTAAAGAATATAGTGACAATGTAAAGGCTGAGAAAGTATGAGACATAAAAATTAATAGAATTTGTGGCCAGCATCATTAACAACCCGTAAATTTTAGAAAGTTCTTAAATACACAAAAGCAATAAGAGGGCCTTAAATCTCAAAGAATTTTATAACTGGAAATATAGCAGCCATATGTTCCACATTTTCTAGGATAATCCGTATTTCAAATCTCCTGTCTCATTGTCCCCATAAGTGTAATTGCACTTGTCAGAGCATATGTCCTAATTTGGGGCTCAGAAAATATAGTCACTAAGTAGAAGGTGCATTGAATTTATTGTTGCTCAACCTTCTCATTTTATAGATAAGGAAACTTAGGTCCACAGAGACTAACCAGCTCACCTAAGGTCACACAGCAAATTAATTACACAAAATCTAGGTCTCCAGACTTCTGATCTACTGTTACTTTTGTATTATTTCATGTTGTAAGCTAACGTGACTCCCTGAAAGCCTTTTGCTTGCAACTGAACAGATATCTTGCTCATACTATTGCATCCTTTCCTGTGCTAGGACACACTGTCCTGCCAAAATACTCCACTGCTAGCCTTTCCATTTCTGATTTATATAGAATCTCTGATATCCTAAATTGCCAGGTACCTGGGGACAAACTCAGTCCATGTATTTCAGCTTAGTGTTTGCTGGGTGACATGAGAGAGGAGACAATGAATGCCCACATCAAGGTTGCTGGTGCAGGAAAGACATAATCACTGGACAATGTTGCTTAATTACTGTATTCTGAACTTTATCTCTCAAAAGCCCAGGCTTCCTGATATCAACATCATCCAAGGTGACTTTCTGGAATAAAAGAGGAATGTGAGAACATCTGGTAGGGGATGGCTCAATAAAGAAAAAGTACAGGGAATACCCAGCAGCCAATCTGAAACTGCCATTCATAAAGAACTCATCACATAGGGAAAGGGCATATGGAGTTATTAAGAAAAAGAACAGAAAGAGTGGGTAAGTTGAGAATAATTAATATGAGCATATTATGGATACTGTGGTACAGTCACAGTAATGAAATACTTAAAATCAAGGTGAACACACCAATACTACTGACTGGAGGACTTGTGCAAGTTAAAAACTTGAAAATGGAGGAAAATTAGTTTTAAAAATGATAAAGTACACACAGAAGAGAATGTGGAGCTATTTCAAACATTGTCATGGAAGAACGTCAGTCAAGACTTAAATTGGACTTGATATGTGACTTTGAACAAGGTCACTAGTTTCCCTGGGCCTCAGTCTCCCTACTTGTAAAGACAAGAGCTGGGCTCCATAATCTCTCAGCACCCTTCCATGATCTTTAATTTTTCATGATCCCAACAGAATCATTGCCACCTTTTGTTTACTTGCAGATAATTTCATTTGTAATAAAATTACTAATACTGTGAAGCGTTGTGTTTCCCAGATCAATGAAAAACTTCTATTTAGTGTAGGCTCCAGTCCACAGATTAGCAAATTTTCCTGTAAAGGGCCAGATAATAAGTATTTTAGGTTTTGTGAACCCTATGGTTTCTGTCATAACTACCGATATCTGTCATTGTAGCATGAAAGTAGCCGTAGACAATAGGTAAAAAAAAAATGAGTTGGCTATGTTCCAATAAAACATTATTTATAATAACCGGTAGCAGGCTAGATTTGGCCTATAGGCTTTAGTTTGCCAACTCAAGTATGGGAAATAAATATAGTGTCATTTAATGGAATATTTTTATTTTGATATTTTAGGACTAATCCCCACAGATGTATGTATTATATACATAATAAGAATAAAATAAAGCTTTTGAAATGAAGCAAGTATGCACATTTGATAATCAATGTAGACTGCCCCATTATTTAACTCCAGAAGCCACCATTCACAATGACGTTGTAAAACATTCTAGAAATCTATAGGGTATAATGTGAGTGATGGAGATATGCAACCTCTATGGCCCTATTGGTGGTATTGATACCTCAGTAACGCTACCAGCTTGACAGGGAGAAATTGGTACCAAGAAACGACAAAGGAGTGGCAGTGGCATAGAATTCCTGCATCCTACTTCCTCCAGACACTCTAAGTCTGCCTTCTCCATCCTATTTCTTTCTCCCTCTGCAAACAAAAGGTTCTGATCTCAGAAAAGAGATGGCCTACCAGTCATTTAAACTCAAGTGAGTTTCACAAGTTGCCTTTTTCAGAGTGTTATTACTAAGATTCTTAACTATTGGAGGTAGTCCAAGGAATTATGAGACAATAAGGGAGTGCTCCTGAAATTACAGCTTATTAACTCTTTGCTACTTGTGCTGCCTTTATATTGTTAATCTATTTTTCAGATTCTTTTCTCCAGAAATAGCATTCTTCTGTTTTATTTTTTTGTTTGTTTTTGGAAGTCTTACCCCACATCAAATCTAAGGTTCCAGGGGAAGTTACTAATGAGTACACTTATAACTAATCACAGTTGATCAACTCAAGGACAGGCATGTGACCCAAGCCAGGCCAATCAGAGTTCTCTTCTAGGATATTTCAACTCAGAACTCGGGTAAAAAGGGTGTCTCTCTCTCTCTGGTAGGGAAGCTGCAAAAATGAGTCCTCTGTGTTCAGCCACGTTCCCTGCCATGTCGATGAAGCAGATCTGAAAGAATAAAGCAGGAATGCAGTGAGAAATTGAGAGAAGAGATAGGATTTGAGAGAGATTCTCAATAATATTGTGCCCCTACCTTCTCAGAATGTGGGGATGCCCTTCAGTATCCTAATAAAGTTCACTTTTTGCCCAGAATAATTCAAATAGTATTTTCGCCACTTGTAACCAAAATATGTCTAAAAAATACAGCCCTATAACTCTTAGGTTTCTTCAAGCCTCTGCCCCCTGCCAGATCTGTACTCTTGTTTTATGTTTTTAAGCTCCTTTTTCCTTTCCTTCACTAGGATTATCCCAAATCCTGTCAACTGAGGAAAAGTTAAATTCCCTGCCACTGTATAGCATGCATCAATCATACTCTATACTTATGCCTACATGCTAATAGGGTTTCTGTGGTGTGAGCATCTTTGTAGTTTGACAGAAAACTCTTGATCTACAGACTTTGGGTATTATAAGAAGAATTTAGTCTGCACTCCTTTCCCAATGGCCCTCAGACATAAAGAGAACAAAATAGCAAGTAAGCACGTGATGGGTCACCAATCTCAACAAAGTGCAGGAAAGAAGTATTAATACTTCAAAGGCTTCAATAATCAAATTCTATATCAGCCAACTATAAGAACCCCAATGTCCTAGAAAGGTCAATCCCACCACTTTGTTTTGTTCTCCTTGCTTGTTGGTTGGTTATCATTTTGATAGACAATACAAGCACATGGCACAACCTTGAAAGGTTATAAAAGTGTTCATGGTGAAAAGTAAATCTCTCCCTATCCCTGCCTTTTCCTCTAGCCACCAGTCGGCCTCCCTAATAGCACAGCTCTTTAAAAGTTCCTTGAATATGTTTTCAGAGACTGTCTGTGCATTCATAAAGATATGTGTACATAAAAAGTTTCATACAAATGCCAGTATTAAAATGCATACTATTTTGTTCTTTGCTTTTTTATGTAAAAACATGTCTGTTCTTACCACTTGGAATGATGCATATGTAATCTAAAGAACTAAATCTTCTAGTTACATCCACCTAGGAGCAATACATAAATAGCCACAGTTGAACAGGGAAAAACACTTCCTGAGGTATCTTTCAGACGTGCTTCTTTGTTTTGCCTTCACCCCAACAGCAGTCGGTCTAAAGGAGGAAGCTCAAGTGGGCAAAAATACAATATTGAACTTTGTAGAAGGGTGAAATATCTAGCTGCTCACTAGATCCTAGGGGTGTGAATCTTCATTCTTGAGAGTGTCCAGAAAATTGAAGCACTGTATTTCTTTACACAAGTTGCGAATTTCAGTACCATATGAAATAGAATAAGGTATGACTGCTGGGTTCCAAGTCATTTTACTAAAACAACAAAGGGACAACTAAATGATGGGTTATTGAAAAAAGAAATAGAGAGTTTACCACTAAACTTTTGTGGTTGGCATAACAAGAGAATATCCTATTTTAATTATAACCAAAACCAGGACTAAATGGACCATTAATTTATAGTTATATAATCATTTATTTGTAGGTTCTCTTTAAAGGAATATAACTTCCTGCAGCTCAAAAGACTCATGAGACAGTCTGAATGACCAGTTTTAAGTGATTTTTATCCCCTCTTTGGAAAAGACAGTTTGAAATCTTTCTCTTCTACTGGGCAAATCATTCCATAAAGGAGGACAGCTGTGACATTTATCATCATTTAAATAGATTGGAGTTTCAAAGCATGCACTGTCCTAGATCTAAGTCCGTCATAAATTTTGCATAAGTTTCTTTGTCTGCTCTGAGGAAATAGTCTGACCCTGGGCAGTGCTGTACCTGTTCTTTCCTTTTAAATTCTTCCTCACTTATGCTGTTCTTTCCCCTCATTTTAATAGTCATGGTTTTACTCTGATGGGTCTTACATGAACTATAGTATTTGAAGAGTCATCTTACAGCCATGGCCAAGGAAATATTCACAGCTACCTGACCTGTGCTGACCCTATGGAACTTCTTACCAAGTCAAACCCTGGAGAAAATTATGTCCTTTAACCCTCTTTTTAAATTTCGTTTTTCTCTTTGCATCTCTCCTTCTATCCAGGCAACACAATACCCTCCTATTGCACCGGATTGACCAGGGTCCCTCTCTGTAAGATGTCAGGGAAGCCTGCATTCCCTCCCAGGGCAGTAACTAGGGTCTAGAGACATCTGTCTACTTTCCTCCCTGCAAAATTTATTTGTTATATAACAAACTCAACAGAGGTTTTCCTCAACATGGCTCTGTTGGCATTTTGGATCGCAGAAATATTGAAGTCATGGTGTGCAGATTACTCCTCTGAAGACAACAACTATGAGATTCACAGCTTCCATCCTTCCCAGCAGTGTTCGAAAGTATAATCAGCTCAGGTGCATAAATTATGTTTACAGCATTGAGTTAGGATCTCTGTGTTAACCATATAAAGATTATATGCCTTAGGTGGATGGTGTCATGTTTCTAATTTATCTTGGCATTCATTTAAACACAAACCAGCCTCTCTATTTCATGACATTTTCTTCCCAGCAGTAGGCTCCTACTCAAGGACACTATACTTTGTGCTCAGTCAGGCTGTTTCCTTTAGATCCCTTTTGAACCAAAGAAATCAACAATCTTCCCTCTATGGGCCGCCAGATCTCTTCTTTCTGTGCCATCTCAGATTTATTCCCAGGTTCCCAAATTTCATCATTAGCTGGTACGTCCCAGAATCTGCCCAGAGAAAATCTGAATAGATTTTTCTCTGTCCTGGAGATGCAGCCTCCTATATGGCACTACTAAGCTCAGCCTCCAATCTCTGAGTTTCCCTTAGTATCTCTATGATGAGCTGTCTCTCCTCTTGGTTCTTTCACTAAATGCCTCCCCTAATAGGCTAGCTAAAGGTCCTCCCCTCTTAATTGGCTTCTCAGAGGTTCACTTTTCTTTAGGTAGCCCCAGGTTCTCTCTAACCCCCACTGTTCCTTCACAATAACCCAGCTGGCATCAGTAGCCCACCTGGATACCACTTAACTGAGAACTGCCACAAGCATTAGCATGGTAAGGCACAAATTATCTACACTTCTTTTCCTAGAATCCCTTTCCCTGGCAACATGTATCATTTAAAATCCCACATTTACATTTTGTCTCAGCTGATCCAAGGCCAGGGGAAATCACATGGGAAAGATTGATATTTGTTTACCTAAGTTATTGCAAAAGAAGTTTGCATAATCTTTTAAAATATCTGATGAGGCCAGGTGTGGTGGTGGCTCATACCTGTAATCCCAGCACTTTGGGAGGCTGAGGCAGGCAGATGACCTGAGGTCAGGAGTTCCAGAACAACCTGACCAACATGGAGAAACCCTGTCTGCTAAAAATACAAAATTAGCTGGGTGTGGTGGCATATGCCTGTAATCTCAGCTACTCAGGAGGCTGAGGCAGGAGAATGGCATGAACACTGGAGGCAGACGTTGCCGTGAGCCGAGATCACACCATTGCACTCCAGCCTGGGCAACAAGAGTGAAACTCTGTCTCAAAAAAAAAAAAAAAAAAAAAAAAAAAAAAAACCTGATGAATTAGTTCATAATAAAATGTTAATAACTGGAAACAGGCTGGAAAGAATTTTGTACGCAGACAGACCTGGTTTTCAATCCTAGATTAGCTAAACTTGGTTTGGACTCTGTTTAAACTTGGGGAAGTTAGGAAACTTCTCATCTTCAGATTCATCTACTAAATGAGCATATGTATTACTTACCTCTCAGGAGTAATAGCAATAACACTGATAATGTGTCCAGTAGATATTCAACAGATGTTATGTCCTATCTCGCCTCTTCAGGGTATTTGTGTTATTTTAAGGGGTTACAGTGACTTCCTCAAAGAGTTTATGAAGGCATCAGAAAGATGCTGTTTGAGGACAAACTTTGCAACAAGGCCTTGCCAAGTGTTTCTGACATTATATCGTATAGATAACATTATTCTAGCTAAGAAATGAAGATAGCTATGCTATTAAGTACTTGACTGGCCATTCTTCCCTATTATCCCTGTTATTTCCTGTCATTGTTGGTCAATAAGTTTCTGCCATTTCGTTAACTGAAGTCCAAGTTTCTGATTATATGATATTTGAATAAATATTTCAAAATGTAGAATTTGGGGCTTTCTGTGGAATTGATGACCACCCATTCAGCAATCAAGCTGTATTGCAAAATGTAGAGAACTCTACTACACCGATTACTTTAATATTCCTGTAGCAATCATTGTATTTCCTTGCCCAGGACCTATTCCATCTCTTCTGGCAATAGATTTTGTGCTCTTCAGCATTAAAATGAGTATGTGAACCAAGCTGAGCCAATAAAATTAATGATGAGGTGCACAAAATTCTATCCCAAAATATGGCACCCTGGATATTGAGAAAACAGTAGAAGCAGAAAGGCCACTCTCAATGTCCTCTCACCCTTTTTTCCTGAAACAGGCCATAAAACCTAGAAAGGTCACTTTCTGACTTTCTCCCTCCCTTCTCCCCTGAAGACCCTCTTGTGACAGGTGCCCACCCTGTACCTGAAGGAAAGGAAAGTCCTTATCTCTGAAGACACAGAGACACCAAGAAGAAACTGAACAGACAGGCCTTGCTATATCCCTGCCAGTTTATTACCACTAGAGCTAACGCTTTTGTCCTTTAATAAAAATCCAGTTTTCTCTGTTTCTTCGGGTCTTCTTTTCTGAAGTTTCCCATGTCATGTACAACAAATAAATGTACATGCTCTTCTCTTGTTAATCTGTCTTTTATTACACCAGTCTTAGCCATGAGCATTACGGTTTCTGCAATAGGTAAGAAATCCTTTTTCCCCTACATTGTCCAACTGTCTGGCAACTGAGATTGGCCTGGGATAGATGCATAACCATGCAGATTTCTGCTTCAGGACATTTCTGGATTAAAGGAGCAGAAATCATGTCTTTCCTCTCTGATGGCAGAACTGCTGGGCAATGAGTTCAGGGCTGCAAGTAGCCATGTTTCCTGTCATATGGGGGAATAAAACTTGTCTATATTAAGAAAAAATAAACTCAATATGTGAGAAAAGCTGAGAAGTGACACAGAGGTAGAGACAGGGCCCTGACAACATCACAGACCATGGATCCAATTGTCCTTGAGGCCAATGTCACCTTTTCTGTGATATGCTCCATGGGCAATAAACTCTCCTTCACCGTCAATGAGAATTTTGTTATTTTTAAGTAAAAATGTTCCTTTTGGTAAAATTTTCATCTTCTTAGCTCAACTCTTTAGGAAAATTCACAACCCTCACCAAAATAAATAGATTGCCCTATACCATGGGAATCCACTCATAACCTTGAGGAAGAGATGACTTTCATTTTTCCTATTAATCTACTTTTCTATCCCGTCTCCTTTCTTCTGCTATCTTACTTCATTTGTTTACCCCTTCTGACATCTTTTCCTTTTCTTTAGGGGTTTTTGTTTTTATCCTCAAACAATCTTAGTTTCACTGAATCATGTTGATGCTTCAACATAACATGCCATCTGGTCAAGATATGCTAGGCTTTGCTGCAATAACATCACCATCTCAGAGGAAACAACAAGGCTTCATTTAGTGCTCATATTAGGTGTACCACAGGGCAGGTGACTCTCCAGAACAAATATCTGTATGTGGCAACTCAAAATCCCATCTAATGCATACATCCTCCATGGCTAGGGGAGGATGTATGCATTAGATGTATAATAGTACCCTTTATATTCTTTATACAACCATACTATAATTGTACATCTAATGCATACATCCTCCATGGCTAGCACAAGAGGGGAAGAGAAGGATGGAGATTTGCACACAAGCTCTGCCCAACACTGATACATGTCACATTTGCAGAAATTTTACTGGCAAAAGCACCTCCACGGTCAAAGATTCTCTCTGGGGAAAAAGAAGAGAATTGGATATGGGTGAGCTTTGGAGGTTTCTACCACACTTCTCACTTCTTTGTTTTACCACTAGAATTCTTAAGCAATTAGGCCATAATCAATGTTAACTTTAACCACTCAATTCTTAACTACTTGCAAATTTGCTTGACTAGACTGCGGGTTGGTTGTAGCTCTGCTGAAAGCTGGGGCCCTGCCCTTGTGTCTTCTTCTCTGGGATCTAAGCAAAGAAGCAGCTCCCACATTTCTGTTTAGCTATTTCATTCCTCACCTTTGCTCTCGTGCCTTTAATTAGCCAAAGTATATCCTGCATCCAAACCCAAAATCTATGAGGCTGGGAAGCATACTCCTCCCACAGGAGGCACACAAAGTCACATGGCAATGGGTGAGGACTCTCCTAGAAGGAAACCAACTTGAATAATAGTAGGCAATAATGTCGTCTGCCCCAGAACTCTGCTGGCACTGCTCTCTTGACCTTTTCTTGTTCTGCCAACCTTCTCTTATTTAGGGCCCCTCATTTTAAATTGTCTCAACCACAACATCCATGCAAACAGTATATAATTTACATCTCTGATACTATTTGTTTCTCTCAAGATTTCATTTAAAATATTAAATAATTTGCTGGAATTCTAAATTGTCTAAATTGCAATTCCCATCACCACCCCACAGACATACCTTAAATATATTTCCTCAGGTAAGCACTTTTCCATCATATCAGGGCTCAGTACACAATACCCTGAAGTATGGTGCCTTAACATACTGAGTACTATGAACTGAAGACCAATGGAGGGTCTCAGAAGCAAGGTCATTCTGTCCTTCTCCTGCCCTTCTGTCTCCTGGCCTCTCCTCCAAAGTGAAACATAGAAACCAGAATTCCTCTTTCCCATGGCAGGTCATAGAAACTGCAATTCTACTCCCCTCAAAGAAAGCCACAAAACCTAGAGGTCACTTTCTGCTCTATCTCCCCTGAAAGTGGGTCATAAGACCCTCATTCCAGAAAGATCCTACCCCATACCCAGGGAAAAGGAATACCACACAGAAAGGCCAAAAGAAATCTAAACAAACAGGCTTTGCTAAGTTCACCCCAGTTTTATTATCACTAGGTAATACTTTTTTTTTTTTTTTTGCATTGTGTTTCCCTACAACCAACCTCTTCTTTCATCAGACAAAACACAGTTTTCCCTGGGTCTTTGGGTCTTCATTTCTGAAGGCTCCCATGTCATACAAAACTTCGTAAAATAAATTTGTTATGCTATTCACTTGCTAGCCTGT
Organism: Homo sapiens; assembly: GCF_000001405.40. Taxonomy (NCBI): domain Eukaryota; kingdom Metazoa; phylum Chordata; class Mammalia; order Primates; family Hominidae; genus Homo; species Homo sapiens. Next base: position 118,515,848 of record NC_000003.12, read on the forward strand.
TTTTTGTTACAGGAATATCAGGTATGACCCTTGCAATGGGTGAGGAACCTTTTTGCCCCTACAATACATTCTCATTTCTGTCTGAGGTAGCATCATTTTCTGAGCCATTCCCTGCCGTATAACCTCAGTGTCATTCTTAAATCTTACTTCTTTATCTCTCCTCGCATACTGTGAAAACTCAATTGTTATCCAATATTTCTCACTAATCTTTTGTTCTTTCCCATTATCTAGATCTACTAGATGATCCAGGTACTTATTATCTAGATTATTCCAGTATTCTTCCTATTTAGATAACTCATAACCCAAAAATTTTATTCCTAAGTATATGCCCTTTAGAATTCTCAGACACATGCAAAAAAAAAAAAAAAAATGACAAGAATTTTCACTTAAGCATTGAGTGGAAGAGTAAAAATCAGGAAAACATGTATGTGTGCATCAACGAGAGAACTGATAAATGAATTCTCGTATATGTATAGAGTGAAATAGTATACAACATTAGAAAATGAATAAACTTAATCTCTATATATTAACATGCATGATTTTCACAATGAAATATGAGCTAAGACCAGATGCGGTGGCTCAAGCCAGTAATCCCAGCACTTGGGGAGGCCAAAGTGGGCAGATCACCTGAGGTCAGGAGTTTGAGATCTGCCTGGCCAACATGGCAAAACCCCACCTCTACTTAAAATACAAAAATTAGCTGCAAATGATGGCAGGCACCTGTAATTCCAGCAACTAGGGAGGTTGAGGCAGGAGAATCGCTTGAAACCAGAAGGTGGAGGTTGTAGTGAGCTGTTCACACCAGCGCCACTGCACTCCAGTCTAGGCAACAGAGCAAGGCTCCATCTCAATTAAAAAAAAAAAGAGTTAAAACACCAACATTGATCCCATTCCAAGATGGCTGAATAGGAACAGCTCTGGTCTGCAGCTCCCAGTGTGATCAACTCAGAAGACGGGTGATATCTGCATTTCCAACTGAGGTACCTGGTTCATCTAATTGGGACTGGTTGGACAGTGGGTGCAGCCCATGGTGGGTGAGCTGAAGCAGGGCAGGGCGTTGCCTTACCCAGGAAGCACAAGGGGTTGGAGGATTTCCCTTTCCTAGCCAAGAGAAGCCATGACAGACTGTACCTGGAAAAACAGGACACTTCCACCCAAATACTGCACTTTTCTCACAGTCTTAGCAACCGGCAGACCAGGAGATTTTCTCCCATGCCTAGCTCTGTAGGTTCAATGCCAACGGAGCCTTGCTCACTGCTAGTCTGAGATCGACCTGCGAGGTCTGAGATCTACCTGCGAGGCGGCAGCCTGGCAGGGGGAGAGGCATCTGCCATTGCTGAGGCTTGAGTAGGTAAACAAAGTAGCCAGGAAGCTTGAACTGGGCAGAGGACACCACAGCTCAGCAAGGCCTACTGCCTCTATAGACTCCACCTCTGTGGGCAGGGCATAGCTGAACAAAAGGCAGCAGAAACTTCTGCAGACTTAAACGTCCCTGCCTGACAGCTCTGAAGAAAGCAGTGGTTCTCCTGGCATGATGTTTGAGCTCTGAGAACAGACAGACTGCCTCCTCAAGTGGGTCCTTGATCCCCATGTAGCCTAACTGGGAGACACCTCCCAGTAGGGGCTGATAGACACCTCATATAGGCAGCTTCCCCTCTGGGATGAAGCTTCCAGAGGAAGGACCAGGCAACAATATTTCCTGTTCTGCAATATTTGCTGTTCTGCAGCCTCCGCTGTTGATATCCAGGCAAACAGGGTCTGGAGTGGACCTCCAGCAAACTCCAACAGACCTGCAGCTGAGGTTCCTGACTGTTAGAAGGGAAACTAACAATTAGAAAGGAATAGCATCAACATCAAAAAAAGGACATCCACACCAAAACCCCATCTGCAGGTCACCAACATCAAAGACCAAAGGTAGATAAAACCACAAAGATGGGGAGAAACCAGAGCAGAAGAGCTGAAAATTCTAAAAACCAGAGCACCGCTTCTCCTCAAAAGAATCACAGCTCCTCACCAGCAATGGAACAAAGCTGAATGGAGAATGACTTTGATGAGTTGACAGAAGTAGGCTTCAGAAGGTTCGTAATAACAAACTCCTCCAAGCTAAAGGAGCATGTTCTAACCCATCACAAGGAAGCTAAAAACCTTGACAAAATGTTAGATGAATGGCTAACTAGAATAAACAGTGTAAAGAAGACGTTAAATGGCCTGATGGAGCTGAAAACCATGGCACGAGAACTTCGTGATGCATGCACAAGCTTCAGTAGCCGATTCGATCAAGTGGAAGAAGGAATATCAATGACTGAAGATCAAATTCATGAAATAAAACGAGAAGACAAGTTTAGAGGAAAAAGAGTAAAAAGAAATGAACAAAGCCTCCAAGAAACATGGGACTATGTGAAAAGACCAAAACTATGTTTGATTGGTGTACCTGAAAGTGACGGGGAGAATGGAACCAAGTTGAAAAACACTCTTCAGGATATTATCCAAGAGAACTTCCCCAACCTAGCAAGACAGGCCCACATTCAAATTCAGGAAATACAGAGAACACCACAAAGATACTCCTTGAGAAGAGCAACCCCAAGACACATTATTGTCAGATTCATCAAGATTGGAATGAAGGAAAAAATGTTAAGGGCAGCCAGAGAGGAAGGTCGGGTTACCCACAAAGGGAAGCCCATCAGACTAACAGCGGATCTCTTGGCAGAAACCCTACAAGCCAAAAGAGAGTGGGGGTCAATATTCAACATTCTTAAAGAAAAGAATTTTCAACTCAGAATCTCATATCCAGTCAAACTAAGCTTCATAAGTGAAGGAGAAATAAAATCCTTTACAGACAAGCAAATGCTGAGAGATTTTGTCACCACCAGGCCTGACTTACAAGAACTCCTGAAGGAAGCACTAAACATGTAAAGGAACAACCAGTACCAGCCACTGCAAAAACATGCCAAATAGTAAAGACCATTGATGCTATGAAGAAACTGCATCAATTAATGGGCAAAATAACCAGCTAACTTCATAATGACAGGATCAAATTCACACATAACAATATTAACCTTAAATGCAAATGGGCTAAATGCCCCAATTAAAAGACACAGACTGACAAATTGGATAAAGAGTCAAGACCCATCAGTGTGCTGTATCAGGAGACCCATCTCACATGCAGAGACACACATAGCTTCAAAATAAAGGGATGGAAGAAGATCTACCAAGCAAATGGAAAGCAAGAAAAAAGTAGGGGTGGCAATCCTAGTTTCTGATAAAACAGACTTTAAACCAACAGAGATCAAAAGAGACAAAGAAGGCCATTGCATAACGATAAAGGTATCAATTCAACAAGAAGAGTTAATTATCCTAAATATATATGCACCCAATACAGGAGCACCCAGATTCATAAAACAAGTCCTTAGAGACCTACAAACAGACTTAGACTCCCACAAAATAATAATGGGAGATTTTAACACCCCACTGTCAACATTAGACAGATCAATGAGACAGAGGGTTAACAAGGATATCCAGGACTTGAACTCAGCTCTGCACCAAGCAGACCTAATACACATCTACAGAACTCTCCACCCCAAATCATCAATCATCAGAATATACATTCTTCTCAGCACCACACTGCACTTATTCTAAAATTAACCATGTAATTGGAAGTAAAGCACTCCTCAGCAAATGTAAAATAATAGAAATCACAACAAACTGTCTCTCAGATCACAGTGCAATCAAATTCGAACTCAGGACGAATAAACTCACTCAAAACCACACAACTGCATGGAAACTGAACAACCTGCTCCTGAATGACTACTGGGTAAATAAAGAAATGAAGACAGAAATAAAGATGTTCTTTGAAACCAAAGAGAACAAAGACACAACGTATCAGAATCTCTGGGACACATTTAAAGCAGCGTGTAGAGGGAAGTTTGCAGCACTAAATGCCCACAAGAGAAAGCAGGAAAGATCTAAAATTGACACCCTAACATCACCATTAAAAGAACTAGAGAAGCAAGGGCAAACAAATTCAAAAGCTAGCAGAAGGCAAGAAATAACTAAGATCGGAGCCAAACTGAAGGAGATAGAGACACAAAAAAACCCTTCAAAAAACCAATGAATCCAGGAGCTAGTTTTTTGAAAAGATCAACAAAATTGATAGAGTGCTAGCAAGACTAATACAGAAGAAAAGAGAAGAATCATATAGACACAATAAAAAATGATAAACAAGAATCACCACTGACCCCACAGAAATACAAACTACCATCAGAGAATACTGTAAACACCTCTAGGCAAATAAACTAGAAAATCTAGAAGAAATGGATAAATTCCACGACACACACACCCTCCCAAGACTAAACCAGGAAGAAGTTGAATCTTTGAATAGACCAATAAGAGACTCTGAAATTGAGGCAATAATTAATAGCCTACCAACCAAAAAAAGTCCAGGACCAGACGAATTCACAGCTGAATTCTACCAGAGGTACAAAGAGGAGCTGGTACCATTCCTTCTGAAACTATTCCACTCAATAGAAAAAGAAGGAATCATTCCTAACTCATTTTATGAGGCCAGCATCATCCTGATACCAAAGCCTGGCAGAGACACAACAAAAAAGAGAGTTTTAGACCCATATCCCTGATGAACATCGATGCAAAAATCCTCAGTAAAATACCGGCAAACCGAATCCAGCAGCACATCAAAAAGCTTATTCACCATGCTCAAGTTGGCTTCATCCCTGGGATGCAAGGCCGGTTCAACATATGCAAATAAATAAACATAATCTATCACATAAACAGAACCAACTACAAAAACCACATGATTACCTTAATAGGTGCAGAAAAGGCCGTCGACAAAATTCAACACCCCTTCTTGCTAAAAACTCTCAATAAATTAGGTACTGATGAAACGTATCTCAAAATAATAAGAGCTATCTATGACAAACCCACGGCCAATATCATACCGAATGGGCAAAAACTAGATGCATTCCCTTTGAAAACTGACACAAGACAAGGATGCCCTCTCTCACCACTCCTATTCAACATAGTGTTGGAAGTTCTGGCCAGGGAAATCAGGGAAGAGAAAGAAATGAAGTGTATTCAATTAGAAAAAGAGGAAGTCAAAATGTCCCTGCTTGCAGATGACATGATTGTCTATTTAGAAAACCCCATCATCTCAGCCCAAAAACTCCTTAAGCTGATAAGCAACTTCAGCAAAGTCTCAGGATACAAAATCAAGGTGCAAAAATCACAAGCATTCCTATACACAAATAACAGACAAACAGAGAGCCAAATCATGAGTGAACTCCCATTCACAATAGCTGCAAAGAGAATAAATACCTAGGAATCCAACTTACAAGGGATGTGAAGGACCTCTTCAAGGAGAACTACAAACCACTGCTCAATGAAATAAAAGAGGACACAAACAAATAGAAGAAAATTCCATGCTCCTGGATAGGAAGAATCAATATCATGAAAATGGCGATACTGCCCAAGGTAATTTATAGATTCAATGCCATCCTCATCAAGCTTCCAATGACTTTCTTCACAGAATTGGAAAAAAGTACTTTAAAGTTCATATGGAACCAAAAAGAGCTCACATAGCCAAGACAATTCTAAGCCAAAAGAACAAAGCTGGAGGCATCACGCTACCTGACTTCAAACTATACTACAAGGCTATATAGTAACCAAAGCAGCATGTTACTGGTACCATAACAGATGTATAGACCAATGGAACAGAACAGAGGCCTCAGAAATAATACCACACATCTACAACCATCTGATCTTTGACAAAACTGACAAAAACAAGAAATAGGGAAAGGAATCCCTATTTAATAAATGGTGCTGGGAAAACTGGCTAGCCATATGTAGAAAGCTGAAACTGCATCCCTTCCTTACACCTTATACAAAAATTAATTCAAGATGGATTAAAGACTGAAATGTCACACCTAAAACCATAAAAACCCTAGAAGAAAACCTAGGCAATACCATTCAGGACATAGGTATGGGCAAGGATTTCATGTCTAAAACACCAAAAGCAATGGCAACAAAAGCCAAAATAGACAAATGGGATCTAATTAAACTAAAGAGCTCCTGCATGGCAAAAGAAACTACCATCAGAGTGAACAGGCAACCTACAGAATGGGAGAAAAATTTTGCAGTCTACCCATCTGACTAATATCCAGAATCTACAAAGAACTTAAAGAAATTTACAAGAAAAAAACAACCCCATCAAAAAGTGGGCAAAGGATATGAACAGACACTTCTCAAAAGAAGACATTTATGCAGCCAACAGACACATGAAAAAATGCTCATCATTGTTGGTCATCAGAAAAATGCAAATCAAAACCACAATCAGATACCATCTCACACCAGTTAGGATGGTGATCATTAAAAAGTCAGGAAACAACAAATGCTGGAGAGGATGTGGAGAAATAGGAATGCTTTTACACTGTTGGTGGGACTGTAAGTTAGTTCAACCACTGCAGAAGGCAGTGTGGCGATTCCTTAAGGATCTAGAACTAGAAATACCATTTGACCCAGTGATCCCATTACTGGGTATATACCCAGAGGATTATAAATCATGCTACTATAAAGACACCTGCACATGTATGTTTACTGCAGCACTATTCACAATAGCAAAGACTTGGAACCAACCTAAATGTCCATCAATGATAGACTGGATAAAGAAAATGTGGCACATACACACCATGGAATACTATGCAGCCATAAAAACGTACGAGTTTATGTCCTTTGTAGGGACATGGATGAAGCTGGAAACCATCATTCTCAGCAAACTATCACCAAGACAGAAAACCAAACACCGCATGTTCTCTCTCATAGGTGGGAATTGAACAATGAGAACACTTGGACACAGGGTGGGGAACATCACACACCAGGGCCTGGTTGGGGGTTGGGAACTGGGGGAGGGATAGCATTAGGAGAAATACCTAATATAAATGCTGAGTTGATGAGTGCAGCAAACCAACATGGCACATGTATACCTATGTAACAAACCTGCAGGTTGTGCACATGTACCCTAGAACTTAAGGTATAATAATAAAAGAAAAAACTTGCAAAAAAAACCTCGCAACATTACTATAATGTATTTAACACGATATTCTTTTGATAAATATTTTTAAACATGGAAATGATAATATCATTGTTTAGTAAAACAATTTACTAAAAGTTTTTATTTATTTATTTATTTTTTTGAGATAGGGTCTCACTCTGTTACCCAAGCTGGAGTACAATGGCATGATCACAGCTCACTGCAGCCTCCACCTCCCCAGGCCAGATGATCCTCCCATCTCAGCCTCCCAAGTAGCTGGGACTACAGGTGCATGCCACCATACCTGGCTACGTTTTGTATTTTTTGTAGAGAGGAGGTCTCACTATGTTGCCCAGGCTGGTCTCAAACTTTTGGGCTCAAGCAGTCCTCCTGTCTCGGCCTTCCAAAGTGCTCAGATTACAGGCATGAGCCACTGCACCCAGACTGTAAATGTATTTTTTTAAAGTGTGTAATTCATAAATACCACAATTGTGATAACAGTTACTCAGCAGGGGACAAGCACTGGGGGAAAAGAAGGACACTATGCCTAAAGAGGGGTACACAGAGGATTTCAATTGTATTTATAATGTCTTATTTCTTCAGGTGGGTTGTGGATACACAGTTTTTTATGCTTTTATTTTGTATTCTTTATGATTTTAACCTGCCAAAAATACTTAGGTATATACCATATATTTTTAAAATATCTCCTATCTAATCTCTCCATTCTAGACTCTGCTCACCTCAAACCATCTTGAACATTGGCTAGACTAATCTTTCTAAAATACCATTTTGCTTTGTCTTCTATTTTCAAGGCTCTGGCAATTCTATGTCACCTATAAAATAAACAAACTTCACATGTTTTAGTGTGCTATTTAAAGCCCCCAAAGAACTTGGAACCATCCCTGTCTCCATCTTCCTTAGTTCTTTTCCTGAAATATCCTCTTTTCCTGCCTGCTTACTTAAGTCTTAATCTTCCCTTTAGTATCCGGTCCACCCATCGTTTTTTGTGGGTTTTTTTGTTTGTTTGTTTGTTTTTTTGAGACGGAGTTTCGCTCTTGTTGCCCAGGCTGGAGTGCAATGGCGCGATCTCAGCTCACCACAACTTCTACCTCCTGGGTTCAAGCGATTCTCCTGCCTCAGCCTCCCTCATAGCTGGGATTACAGGCATGCGCCACCACGACCAGCTAATTTTGTATTTTTAGTAGAGACAGGGTTTTTTTATGTTGGTCAGGCTGATCTTGAACTCCCAACCTCTGGTGATCCACCCGCCTTGGCCTCCCAAAGTGCTGGGATTACATGCATGAGCCACCATGCCCGGCCTCACTCATCTTTTTCTCTTCAAGCCTCCATTAAGGGTGGAATAAATGGCCCTCTTTTGTAACTACAGCTATTCCCCTACATATACTCTTGGGCCTCTTTCCTCCTGTATCCTCAGGGAACATGTTCTATCAATTTGCCTGCTTTCTTTTAACTTGCTTTGTCTTCTGCATTCCTTTGTCTCCTATAAAACCCCCTTTATCAAGTCTTTCCTCCCCAGTCAAACCTGAGGGTTGAACATCCACCAGTTTGCATTCTCCCTATATTTTTTAGGTACTGTCAAGAATGGTGAAAAGTCAAAGATTTTGCCCAGCTTGTAAGCCAGGAAGTTAGCCTGCCACAGTTTGACAGATATTGGCAAAAGGCAAGAGATTCACAGGTTAGAGACAAAGTATTATTCCCTCACCACAAAAGCAGTAATCAGAACATCAGCATTTTCTTATACTGGTTCCCAAAGCCCTAGTTCCTGTAAGATGATGCAGAAGGTCATGTGAGATCTGCACACACAGTGGGTTATACTACAGAAGAGAAATCCTGAGCCTAAGGAACCTGAAGGTTTTATAATGATCAGTAAGCACCCTTGCCCTTTCCTTTGGACGGACATATTATCTTTCTCTTCCAAGGCTGTTGGCCATACAAACTTCCTTAAAAAGATATATCTGAAAAAAGACAATCAGTGCCTCTGCTCAAGAGACATGGAGAAATTTGATACCCATGGAGAACTGTTTTCCAAAAGTTACTAGTCCTCTTGCCCTTACTACAGTGTAAAATCCTTAAGAACAGGATTTGGCAAACATTTTATTAAAGAGTCAAATGGTAAATACTTTAGGCCTGTAGACTACACAGTTTCTGCCATTGTAGCTCAAAAGAAGCCATAAACAATTGTAAAATAATGGGTGTGACTATATTCCAATACACATTTAGTTACAAAAACAGGAGGCTGGCCCATGGGTCATTGTATATTGACCCCTGCTTAAGAACATCAGAACATTTTATTTATGTGCCACACACTATTGTAGATGCAGACGATATCTCAGTGAATAAAACAGATGAAACTGAAACTGGAGAGTTCCCCAACCCCACTTGCAGGGAGTGCAACAGGGGTGTGCCTTGTCTGTTCGGCTGCTGTGCATGCTCAAACCCCTTACAGGAGGGGGAGCATGCAGACGGGCAAGTGCAAGAGCCAGGCTGAGTTTAGGGGTGGGTGCCTATGACTCCTTAAGCCCCAGTGGACATGCTACAGTGCTCTTTTAGCTCTGCCATCTGCAGATGGCTTAAGTGTTAACCAGCTCAGTGCCCTCTTGGTACCTGGGTTCTTGTCCGGAGACCAGGAAGAATCAGGTTGCATGCAGACTTGAAGGATGAATGTGGGGGTTTTATTGAGTGGTGGAGGTGGCTCTCAGCAGGAAGGATGGGGAACTGGAAAAGGGATGGAGTGGGAAGATAATCTTCCCCTGGAGTTTGGCCACCCAGTGGCCAGTCTCCTCTCTGACTGTCCCCAGCCTCTTCTCTCCTTCTCCGCCGTGCCATTCTGCTGCTCTTCTGCTCTTCTGTTTGTCTACTAATGGAACCTGGGGTTTGGTATTTATATGGGTACAGGACAGGGGTGTGTGGCAGGCCAAAATGCAACTTTTGGGCACAAAAAACAGAAATGCCTGTTCCCATTTAGGGCTGCAGGTTGCCAGGCTCCAGGTTGGGGCCTTTGCCAGGGAACCCCTCTCTTATACCCAGTATTTCCCTGTCTCCTGTCTATATCAAAACCACCTCATCAACCACATATTCTACTGGAAGAACACAGCAACAAACAATAAATTAGTAAAACATTATAAGATGGTAAGTGCTATGGGGAAAAATTAAGCAGAAAAGGAGGATGATACTGAGGGAAGTAAATTTTAGATAACAGGTCAGGAAAGGCATCAGTTGGAAGGCGACATAAGTGAAAAGATCAAGGGAGTGGTGATATCTGGTGATATCTATGAGAAAAGCATTCCAAGCAAAGGGAGCACATGCAAATATCCTGGGAAGACAGAACTTTGGGACTGTTGGAGGAACAGTAAGAAGGCTACAGTGCTGAGGCAGAGCTAGCAGGAGGATGGTAAGAGATGTGCTTGGAGAGGTAACTGGAGGATTGAACAAAGGAGCAACCTGTGTTGACTTGTATTTTTAAATGCAAATCTGTTGCTTTGGGAATAGTTTGAACTAGGGCAAGGGTGGAAGCAGGAAGGTAATTCAGGATGACTTTAAACTAATCAAGGCAGACGTGATTGCTCAGACCAGAGTAATAGCAGTCACATTCTGAATACATTTGAACATAGAGCCAATAGAATTTTCTGGTAGGTTAGATGTGGCGTGGGAGAGAAAGAGTGGAGTCAAGGACTATAGCAAAGTGTTTAGCCTGAGCTACTAGAAGAATGAAGTAGCCACTAAGTGAAATCAGAACACTGAGAGAGGAGCAGATCTAGGGACAGATCAGGAGTTCTGCCTCAGAATTTTAAGTGGATACTCCATACATGTGTTGGGGATAATAAGCTACCTACTTAACAAATCTGCCTAAGGCCAGCCCTGCAGCCCAGAAGTGTGTATCAGGAAACTCTAAATGCTAATAGCCAGCATCCTTCTCTCCTATCTACAGAGTCTGGCCCACGGCCTCTGTAGATGGGTCAGCTGGAACATTAATTCAGATTGCTTCTCTGGCCAAATAGACACAGAATGATGACAAGGGTCCTTTGTCTAGACTTCATCTGATGAAGGACAAATCCAGCAAATGAAGAAAAGGTTGTCTGTCTATCAAAATGCATATTCATTAAACTCTTTATCAACTGTCAGCCCAAGAGGGAGAATGACAGATTTTTAACAAGATAATTTGAGGAACACTCCCTACACATATTGAAGTAAATTGTCCCTCTTGTATCTGGGCTGGTGCCAGCAGTCACTGTCCACATCTTGAATTCTCCCCCAGGCTTCTTCACAGGGTCAACTGAGGAGTCCTCATGCACTGTTTAAAAATCAATGTACAAAGCTCATTCAGGGAATGAGGGTTTCTCACTCTGAAAGTGAAAGAATCACAACCCTACAGCTGTGCTCCCTTCAGCCCCAGCTCTCCTACCCCACTAGGTGAAAAAACTCAGAATAAAAGGCAGCTTTACTGTCTTTTTTTAAGCAAAAGCAAAGCCCTGCCTAGTAGATGTAAACAAAAGAGTGAACATACACCTAATTTCACTCTGTTATGCAATCTTAAGCAATTTTACTCATATCTTCAGTATTTCTCACATAGGAGCAGCAGGAATAACAGTGGAAATCATTCCTACATGCAGAATCCTTTCCTCTCTCAGGTCTCAAGGTTAAAGGAGGTCAATGTGGCTAGTTACTACAGTAAGGCACTGTTTCAGTCAAAAGATCAGATGCCTCTAAGATATTTGAAGAGGGACAGTGTATTCATCCAGAGTGGAAGGAATAAAACCTCCTTGACATACAAGGGAGATATTTGCCCAGAATTTGACAGAAGTATAATAGTACTCAACTCAGGAGAGAACTAAGTTGACAGTTTTAGAATTGAAGACAGAGAGAGAATGGACAGAAGAGAAAGGAAAGTTCAGTAAGTGTGAAGGAACAAAGACAGACTTGTTTCTTGAGAATAGAAACCTTCAGAGCTCTGCCATAGGATGTCTGCACAAAATGTGGGTGATTGGCCCAGACAGAGAGGTAATATGTGTACCTTAAAAACATTAAGATTGAAATTTGAAGTTTACTGTTATCCATTGCTTATGTTTTGCTGCAAGTAACAGAATTTCTGATTAAAAGTGACAATAATGAGGATTCACTATCTTAAAAATCAAGAAATCCAGGGTTGGGGGATTTAAGGGTTGGTACAGCAGATTCACAATGTCAACAAGAACCTTGGTTTAAGCGGCTTTTCTGCTCTATTGACATTCATGTGTTGTTGATTTCCCGCCTCATTATTACAAGCTAGCTTCAGCAACTCTTGTACCCCAGCCTCACAAAACAGTATCTCAAAAAGCAAGAAAGTGGATTGGAGCATAAAGGGTATAAGCTCACGTGGCTCTGTATTTTAATGGTGGTAGTAAAGAAGGAGGGATAATTCTAGTTTCCCAGAAGACTTCTTCATGTATCCTATTGACTAAATCTAGGTTATCTGTCAGAGGAAATAGGATTGTTCTATTTGGCTTATGTTAATTAAGATCTCATTGCCTTGGGGTGAGTACATTGCTGCAAGAATAAAATTGAGGTCTTATTAGCAAGAAAAGGAATATATTTGTTAGGTAGAAAACCAAGACTCTCTCCTACATTTAGTTTCTCACATTTCCCATAGCGTATCTTAAAAATTACTTCTAGGGGTAAAATCTTTTACAGGAGGAAAGGTTTGAAGAACTGAAACTCAGATGTCTAAGAAAAAAAAAATAGAGTGAAATAAAACTTCTATCTCTGGTGAGATGGCCTAGGTAGTTGAGATGAAACACCCAAGAGAAATAGCAACTTTAAAAACTGGACAAATTATTAAAATCATCTTTTTCAAACTATCTGAGAGCTAGCAAAACAATAATCAATTATAAGGCCAGAAACTAGAAGCTTATGCGTCAGGGCTCTTCAGAGAAACAGAACCAAAAGGAGACATAAATAGAGACATGTATTTAAGAAATTGGCTTATACTAAAAATTAATAGATTAGTTTAATAGTAAATCTGATACAACTGATTAGAGAATTAATCAACTGGAAGTTAGCTCAGAAGAAAATATCCTGAATGAAGTAAGAAACAGAAGAAGATGGGAAATATAGGAGAAATTATGCAAAATAGAGAAAATACAGAGAGAAAATATTGATTGAGTGTAATTAAAATCCTAGAAGAAAGGAGAGAGAGAATATGCAAAAGCAATATTTGAAATGATAATGGCTAAGAATTTTCCAAAACAAATGAGAAATATTAAACCACAGATGCATGAAGCAATATAAATAGTAAGTAGAATAAATAAGAAAATTACACCTACACACAGCATGGTAAAATTGCTAAAACCCAAAGATAAAGATAAATTCTTAAAAGTAGCTAGAGAAAAATGACAAAATACTTTCAAAAAGTAACAGTAATATAAAATCTGACTTCTCAATGGAAAAAAAAATGTATCTTCAAATTTCTGAAAAAAATAATTGCAAAGCAAGAATTGCATAACAAGTAAAATGAAAATGAAATAAAGACATGCATTAGTCCATTCTCACCCTGCTATAAAAAAATGCCCAAGACTGGGTAATTTAGAAAGGAAAGGCAGTTCTGCATGGCTGGGGAGGTCTCAGGAAACTTACAATCATGGCAGAAGGCAAAGGAGAAGCAAAGCACCTTCTTCACAAGGCAACAGAATGCAGCAGGAACTACCAAACACTTATAAAACCATCACATCTTATGAGAACTCACTCACTATTATAAGAACAGTATGGGGGAAACTGCCCCCGTGATTCAACTACCTCTGCCTAGTCTCTCCCCTTACACGTGGGATTTATGGGGATTACAATTCAAGATGAGACTTTGGCTGAGGACATAGCCAAACCATCTCAGACATGTTCACACAAATAAAAACTAAGAGAATTGTCAACATTACTTGTTCACTAAAGGAAATACTAAAAGAAAGGAATATATGGACAAATCTACTTATTGGCCAAAATATGAGTAATGCCTGTGAGTTTTACTCATAGAGAATTAAAATACTTGAAACCAAAGCATATAGGTTGGAAAGGAGAACAAAGGTAAAACAAAACTTGTAAGTTCTTGCATTTTGCAGAAAGAGATGAAAGTCCTGATTTGCATTAGACATCAATAAATTGAGAAAATATGTAATATGTAAGATAACCACTAAAAAATAGTAAGAAAGTACATATCACCTACTAAATGAGGTAAAATGCAATAACAAAAATAACCATTTCAAAAAGGGACATTTCTTTGTCATTCATCATGTAAACAAAATGAAGGAGATAAAGCATATGATCATCTCAAAAAAACTTAGCAAAAAGTATTTGATAACTTTTAGTATCTATTTATGAAGAAAAAAACCTCATCCAACTGGTGTCAGTCAAGGAAAATACCAAGGCAAGTCTCAATCATTTAAGGAGGTTTCTTTGCCAAAGCTAAGGTTGCATGCCCAGAAGACAGGTCTATGCGCTTCTCCAAAGATGATTTTGAGGGCTTCAGTACTTAAAGGGAAAAGGGTGGGATATTGAAAAATACTTAATTTTCATGTGAGAAGGGAGCAGGGGAAAACAGTCATTCATGCCTTTATCTGGCTCAGTGAATCTGCATTTTTACACAAGATAACATAGTCAATAGGCCAGAAGAAACAATAAGATATGCATTTGGCACAGGTAGGCAGAGGGAGGACTTTCAGTTTTGTGAAGATAAGCTATGAATTTACATTGCCACGATGAACTTTAACAGAAATGCTTTAGGGTAAAGATCTTGGGGCCCACAAGGAATTTCCTTTTGGGCAAAACATGAGGGAGGTATGTAGTTTTCCATCTTTGTAGCCATCTTATTTAGGAAACAAAATGGGAGGCAGGTTTGCATGACCCAGTTCCCAGCTTGCCTTTTCCCTTTTGTTACTGGAAAGCAGTCCAATCCAGACCTCAAGACAGGGTTCTTGGATCTCGCGCAAGAAAGAATTTGAGGCAAGTCCAGAGACTAAAGTGAAAGCAAGTTTATTAAGAAAGTAAAGGAATAAAAGTATGGCTATTCCACAGGTAGAGCAGCCCCAAGGGCTGCTGGTTGCCATTTTTATGGTTATTTCTTGATTATATGCCAAACAAGGGGAGGATTATTCATGGAAAAGGGGTGGGCAATTCCTGGAACTGAGGGTTGCTCCCCTTTTTAAACCATATAGGGTAAATCCTGACATTGCCATGGCATTTGTAAACTGTCAAGGTGCTGGTGGGAGTGTCTTTTAGCATGCTAATGCACTATAATTAGCATATGATGAACAGTGAGGACAACCAGAGGTTACTCTTGTGGCCATCTTGGTTTTGGGTTTTAGCCAGCTTCTTTTCTGCAGCCTGTTTTATCAGCAAGGTCTTTATGACCTGTATCTTGTGCTGACCTCCTATTTCACCCTGTGACTTAGAATGCCTAACCTCCTGGGAATGCAGCTCAGTAGGTCTCAGCCCTATTTTACCCAGCCTCTATACAAGGTAGAGTTGCTCTCGTTTAAAAGTCTCTGACACTTTGGCTTTGTGAGTCTAGGGTCCCAAGATTTATTTTCTTTTCACACTGGAAATAGAACTTTTTGAAAAGTTTCGTTGAAGTAAAATAAACATACACATTTTGAAAGCCAATGATTTTATAAGTTTTAACATGCGTATATCCCTGTGAAACTATCATCACAATTCAGATAATATGCATATCCATCATCACCAAGAAACTCCTTGAATTCCTTTGTAATTCCTCTTTTCTGCCCCATCTCAGAGCCACCCCAAGCCCCAGTGAAATATTGTTTTGCTTTTGGTTATTATCATTTTGTTTGCATTTTTTTAGAATTATGCAAATGGAATCATATAGACTGTACTATTTTTTTGTCTGGCTTGTTTCACTCAGCCTAATTATTTTGAGGATCATTCATGTTGTTTTATGTATTGTGGGTGTTCAGTCAAGATGGTGGGAGAAATTGTAAAATTACAGGAAATAAACACAAACCGTCTTGGAAGGCCTGGAGGTTTGCATAAACTGTTTGGCTGAAGGCAGCTGAATCCACTTAATAGCTAAAGGTGCAGACACAAAGGAATGTAGAATAGTTTATCTAAATAGCTTGTTTAGTCATGTGGTCCTAAGACCAACCTTTGACGCAGGTACATAATTGCTCTCTACTTCGGGGGTTGGCAACCAGGTCAATTACCCTCTAGTGGTGTTTACTCAAGACCTTTATCACTTAATCTATACTGAATAAATGCAATCTTCTCTGGCCAAACAGGGCCATGGCTGCTACTCTTTACAGCACCTTCTTTGGTGTCTGTGAGGAGTCCAGACCCTTAGCTAAACTGACAGGCAGAATATCTGTGTCAGTGTACAGTATTCATCTGTTATTGAGTCAGGGTCTGCGGGATGAACCCTGCAATGTATCAACAGTTCATTCCTTTTAACTGCTGAGTGGTATTCTATTGTATGGGTATACCATATTCATTTGTGTATTCACTTGTTGAATGGACCTTTAGATTGTTTCCAGTTTGGCTGATTACAAATAAAACCACTACGAACATTTGTGTGCAAGCCTTTGTAAAAATATAGGCTTTTATTTCTCTTGGGTATATACCTAAGAGTAGAATGGCTGGGCCACATGGTAAGTAATATTTAACTTTTTATGAAATTGCCAAACTGTTTTTCTAAATTAATTCCACCATTTTACATTCTCACCAGCAGTGTGTGAGAATTCCATTTTCTTCACATTTTTACCAACACTTGATTATTTTAAAATTTTTTATTTTAGCCTTTCTAATAGGTATGTAGTGGTTTTAATTTCCCTAATGACTAAAAATGTTAAAAAAATTTTATATGCGCTTATTTGCCACTCTTTTAACTTCTTTGGTAAAATAACTTTAAATCTGTGTACATTTTAAAATTTGGTTCTTCATATATTATTACTAAGTTTTGAGAGGTTTCAAAAATATATAGCCTCGGTACCATTCCTTTGTCAGATGTATGATGTGTAAATATTTTATACCAGTCTGTGCTTGTCTTTTAATTTTCTTACTTGTATAAAGAGTAGAAACTTTTAATTTTGATGAAGTTTAAGTTATTATTTTTTCTTTTAGAGATTGTGCATTGGTATCAAATCTAAGAAATTCTTGCTTAACACAAGATCACAAAGATTTTATCTTATTTTTTCTCTTAAAACTTTTATGTTTCAGATTTTATGCTTATGTCTATGATTCATTTATAATGTTCATATTTTTGCACATGAATATCCAATTGTTCCAGCACCATCAGTTGAAAAGACTATCCTTCCTCCAGTGAATTGCCTTTTTACCTAAGCCTTTGTCAAAAATAAGTTGTCCGTATATGTGTGGGTCTATTTATAGATTCAGTATTGTTTTCCACTGATCGTTTTGTCTCTCTTGATGCCAACACTGCATTGTTTTGATTACTGTAGCTCTATAATAAATCTGAATTTAGCCCTCCAAGCTTGTTCTTTTTTGGAATTGTTTTGGCCACACCAAGTCTTGTATATTTCTCTATTAAATTTCAAATCAGCTTGTCAATTTGTATGAAAAATTCAGTCAAATGTAGAATAAGTATTTAAGTGGCTACTTCAGATATTTAATTAAAGTGCCTGTACATGTAATGAGTAAAAAAATCTATTATCTCATTAACTCACTCTGTGGCTTTCATGCATTCATCTTATTCTGCACAAAATTCAAATGAGTGTTTCATCAAGTTTACAAATTACTAGAGTATACTGATAAGTGCTATTTATTGAGCAAATACTCAATGTTCAATACTCAAAGTCCCCAGTGTTCTGGGGACTATACCAACCATTTTTCTACATTATTTAATTTAATCCTCACAACAACCAGTGAGAAAAGTTCTATGATTCCTTTCTGTTTAACAGATTAAGACATTCAGACTCAGAAAGGTGATATAATTTGCCCCAGATCACACACTCCACTCCTGATTTGATGCCAGATCTGACTCACTGACCGTTAAGTTGCACTGCCTCTGAAGCACTAGAGATTTAATCAGATAATTATATTCATGCCTTATCTGCTCTTTGCTGGTCTATAACCCCCACAAAGACAGAAATGCCAGTGCTCACAGAACACCTTGAACATAATTATATGGTAGCCATCCAATAGATTTTTTTGAAAGTGAGTGAATGTATGAACAAATGAATGAATGGATAAGAAAAGAGGAAAATAAATGTTAACCGGGTTGAGGCATTTAGGATTTGGGTTTGGTGAATGGTGGTGCATATTTCTGTAAGGTTTTTTGTAGTGTTTTGTGATGACTTATAAAAAGTTGAAGTCTGGACTGCAAGGGAGTTAGTCAAAGAAGTTGCCCATGTAGAAATGAAATCTGTCAGTACCAGTTAAAGAACAGTCTGGTAAGCCCTGAAACCTAGTTATGACCTCTCAACAAATATTGTAGAATAAGTGTCTGCACAAGAAAACACAATGATTTAGGAAATAATTTTCATGAACTAAAAATCTTAATTACTTAACTAAATATCACTATTTTATTTGAATGCCTTTAGAATTTTGAATACTGAAGAAACCTTGATTCTGCCTTTCAGTTTCAACACAAAGAAATGGAGCCTCAGAGAGATGATGGCCCTATCTAATGTTACACAGTTTGCTGTTAACAGAAATCCAAATACACTAATTCCCAGTCCAATACTCACTCCTTCACAACACATAGTCTCTATGTATATCCAATCGTAGATAATCTCATACATTTTATGACATGTAGACTAAAAAGGGATTTCTGCAGGCAGGATTAATGTCTTCCCAGTCTCTAGAGAGAAGAATGGTAAAGTCAAATAAGCAGGGATCTAGGAAGCTTCAAGAACAAGCTGAAAACATGTTTCCCTCCTGTTAGCCTTGCTGACAGTTCCAGTGAATGCCAAATTTCCGTAGTATTTGCAAGAGAAGCTGAGACTTTCTCTTTAGCCTGGATGGATTCTAATTTGGAACATTCTTCTATGGCAACCTATTGCCATATTATTTGACTTTATATTTGCACAATATTTACAACTAGGTACCAGTAATATGAAATTATATTCATTATCTTTAATTTTCCCTATGACCTTGAAAATTAGGTACAATTATCATTCTTGTTTAATAGATGAAGTTAAAAAAAATAACTCAGAATGTATAAGAACACACCTGAGGTGACACGACTAATAAGATATAGGGCCAGATATCAAACCCAGGTCCTGGTGATGTCAAAGTCTTTGTTCTTGCCACACAGTGCAAAAAGACTGACAGAGCAGAATGATGCATCCTAATCAGCACATACTGTCACCAAGCTGGTCAGTAAGTGTTCTGGTTTGCTAGACAGTAAAAGGATCCTTTGTAGGAGAAATCTACGGTTAGAAAATCACTCTTTCATAGATAGGGGAGGGATATAAAAGCAGATGAAAGAGCGTCAGAAAAAAAAAATCATAATTAAAAATAATTGATAACTTGTACAATCGCTTTACAAAGTATATTCTTATTTAATTCTTACAATAGCACTAAGAAGTGTGCACTATATTCATTGTAGTTAAAAGTAAACAGTAGGAGGCTTTTAGACTTAGTGACTTATTTAAAGACACAGCTAGGAAATAGTGAGTCTTATTTCCAAGCCAACTTTCTTAACCTGGAGGTTAAAAATCACCTTAAAATGGAAAGGAACAGAGAAACAAAAGAAAGTACCAGGTAATTGCACATGTAACAGGATAAGGTGAACACCAAGTTAAAATTTGCAGTTTTTACTTAAAGAGGAATCATTATTGTTAAAGACTAGTTTCAAAAAAAAGTAGTCTTTAAAACACCTTCTACAGTTCTATAAAGCTAAAGTTGGAATTTTTTTCTTGTTGTGAGACTTAATAATATATAAGTTTCCAGTTATAAGAAGTTACATTGTTTGTCTCTATGCAGAACAGTTTGTTTGGCATGAAATTGAGCAGTACGATTGTGTTTACTAATAATAATTAGAAAACCAGGCTGGGCCTGGTGGCTCATGCCTATAATTCCAGCATTTGGGAAGGCAAATACCCTTAATTATAATGCTCCATTTTTCTTTTTTTAATCTACTTCTTAATTTTCTGTCAAGTTCCAATCCCAGCATTTGTGGGCAAACCACAAGGTCAAGAGATCGAGACCATCCTGGCCAACATGGTGAAAACCAATCTCTACTCAAAATTAGCTGGGCGTGGTGGCGCACGACTGTAGTCCCAGCTACTCTGGAGACTGAGGCAAGAGAATAGCTTGAACCCGGGAGGTGGAGGTTGCAGTGAGCCAAGATCGTGTCACTGCACTCCAGCCTGGCAACAGAGCGAGACTCCGTCTTAAAAAAAAAAAAAAAGAAAACCAATAGTTATGTAATTCACCACAAATGATAATGGAACATGAAAAATGTATATCCATTATTTAGTCTCTAGCTCCAAATCAGACTAATAACAAGAGAAAGATATAAGCCATGATGGATCTCATTCTCTGACCTGCATAGGAATTTGGGGGATTTCAATCCCACCCCTGCCCCATCCCTTTTGAGTTCATGAGTTGCCTAAAGCCTTTGCTCAAAGAAAGCAGCCTCACGGTTTACTAAGAAGTATATTTAGCTAAGATCCTCAGTGCCTACTATGCACCTTGGCCTCTCTTCCCAAATTAAACATCTCTCCATGAAAACCCTAGGAACTTAGGAGTTACCTTCAGACACATGGGCTTTAAAAGAGACAGATAAGATTTGAGTCCATCTCCACCACTTAGTTGTTTATGACATTAGAGAATATAGTAAGAACTTCAGGTCATCCTGAACTTCTTGGTATCCAGTCTCACCTTTTTCTACAAAAATAGAATTTTTAGTTTGGCACACTGCCACCCAAAATACGGACAATGTAGTATTCCTAGCTTTCCTTGCAACTAATTCCTTTATATGTCCTATATGACTAATTCTGCCCAGTTTAAATGAAAATGTCTTATGAGCAATTTCTCATAACTTCCTGAAGAGTAACCTTCCAGGTGTACTCTTTGCCCCTTGTTACTCATCCTTTCCTTAACGCTGTTGCCTAAAACACAGATCCCTCCAGAAACAATGAGGCTAATGGTCACACCCAGTAGATGTCAGAATGGTGAACTGGTAAGAAT
The DNA here is from genome assembly GCF_000001405.40 of Homo sapiens. Classification (NCBI taxonomy): domain Eukaryota; kingdom Metazoa; phylum Chordata; class Mammalia; order Primates; family Hominidae; genus Homo; species Homo sapiens. The sequence continues at coordinate 118,537,035 of NC_000003.12, forward strand.
CTTGGTCTTTGTGGACTTGGAACAGAGCCACACTCTGCCGTCCAAACCCTGGACTAACATCTCTGCATAGTTACATGATACAGAAATAAGATTCCAAATTACTTGTTATTTCAAGGTTTTCTTCTATTGCATTCAAACCTAATCTGAACTAACGTAGTCAAGTTAAATAAAATAATAATAATAGTATGTTCATAGCTCAGAGGTTTATTTTGAGGATTACATGAGAAAATGCATGCAAATACAAACCTGGATAATAAGAATTAAATGTTAATCATTATTGTTAATATTATGATTGTATTTCTTGCCTATTGAAGACAATTTTCTTGTCATGCCTTGCCCAGAAATTATGATTTTTGAGGCATTTCCTCAGACTAAGATATTATTAGAAAAGATGTAAATGTTCTTATTGAATTGCTGCAGTCTTCATAGCCAAGGCTATTTCTTTCTCCATACTAACAGAATTTTGTATAAAGAATAAAAGATCAGGGTTAGACTGCCCAGAAATTAGACTACCAGGTTTTTCTTTCTAACTCATCTTTTCCGGTATCTATTATCAGTCATAAGTGCTCTTGTCAATTAGAATATTATTGTATGATATTGTTCAGTTTTCAAGAATGCAGTCTGTTTTAAATTACGCTTAAATACATTATACTTTAGGATTGTCACTTCCTGGCACCTTAAAGTTGTTAGCAAATTATCTCCAAATGAAAACATAAAATGGATTATTTCTGGGAAGGGTTCTGAATAAGTGTATGTTGATTCTCTCACCTTTGTTACTAAATAATTTAGAATATAAGTTTCCTCCCTACTCATCACAGAGGTATAATGTTAAGTGCAAAACGAGTAGTGCTGAATCACGGGAGAGAGAAATTGCTGAGAACTGCACAAGCCAAGGAAATTGTCACCAAAGGGACAGAACTTGATAGAAGAGTAAGATTTAGATTAAAAAAAGAAAAACGGAGCATTATAGTTAAGGGTACTAGTATGTACAGAGGGACAGAGACAGAGAGTAAGCCAACCTCGCTGAAGCAGCGTTTATATAGAAAGGCAGTCTCGGGTGTCAAAAAGGTACACTGAGATTGGAATGTGAGAGGCCTAGAATGCTAAGTGAAGAAATTTGGACTTTAGAGTCAATAGACAGCAATGACGGGTATTGAGCAAAAATGTGAATGAGCAAAATAATGGACTAACTTGTGGCAGTGAACTGGATTAATTTGAAGTGAAAAAGATAAAGAGAATGACTTAGGAGACTTTTTAAAAAACAGCTTTATTCAATATAATTCACAGAACATAAAATTCACCAACTTAAAGTCTACAATTTGATGATTGTTAGTATATTCAGATATTGCGCAACCATCATCACAACCTAAATTTAGAATATTTTTGTTTCTCCCTAAAAGAAATCTTGTACTCATTAGCAGCCAATCTCATTTTTCCCTACCTCATCAGCCCTTGCAACCAATAATCAAGAGACTTAATGTCTCTATAAATTTGCATATTCTGGACATTTCATATAAATGGAATCACATGACATATAGTCTTTTATGACTGGCTTCTTTCACTTAGCATAATGTTTCTGAGAGTCATCTATGTTGTAGCATGTATCAATATTTTATTTTTTTTCTTTGCTAATAATAACCCATAACATGCATATACCACAATTTATTTATCTATTCATCAGTTGATTGACATTTTAAGTTGATTCCACTTTTAGACAACTATAAATAATGCTGCCATGAACATTTTTGCACAAGTTTTCATATGGACATATGTTTTTATTTCTTTTGAGTATATACATAGGATATTGCTTGGTCATATGATAGCTTTCTTTAGCATTTTGAGGAATGGTGAAACTGTGTTCCAAAGTAGCTACACCATATTGCATTTCTACCAGCAAAGTATGAGGGTTTTAATTTCTCCACATCCTTGAAAACACTTGCAATTGTCTGCTTTTCTGAATATAGCCATCTTCGCAGGTAGGTGTGAAGTGGTATCTCATTGCATTTCCCTAATGACTAATAATGTTGAGTATCCATTCATGTGCTTATTGTCCCTCTGTACATCTTCCTTGGAGAAATGTCTATTCAGATCCTTGTGTTGTCTTTTTATTACTGAATTGTAAGAGTTATTTACAACTTAGTTATGTATTCTAGATGTAAGTCCCTTATCAGGTATCTGATTTGCAAATATTTACTCTCATTCTGTGGATTGTATTTTTACTTTCTTGAGGTGAAAAGTAAAATTTTAACTATTTTTTCTTCTGTTTCTTTTGCTTTTACTGTCTGTCTCAAGCATCTATGCTTACCTTTCTTCTAGGAGTTTTATAATTTTAGCTCTTACATTTCGGTCTACAATCCTTTTAGAGTTAACTTTGTTACATACGTGGTGTAAGGTAGGGATACAACTTTCTGCTTTTGCATGTGGATATCCAGTTGCCCTATCACCATTTGTTAAAATAGTAGACTTGCACATACAATCTAAGTGTGTAATAATAAGGTCCTGACAATAGTAATGGGAACCACTAGGAAAACCTTATAAAGAATAAAGATTAGTGGTCAGGCAATGGGGAGGCAGGAGATGGGTATGACTAGGTAACCAGTTGAGTAGTGTTACCGCCAATATGAATAGGAAAGTCAGGGGAGGAAGAAGTTTTTAGAATAAGATGAGCTCTATTTCGGACATGTGAGTTCACATTGCCCAAGTGAAAACGTATAAAACATCTGAGAAGATGCCAAATGGTGATGTAATGCTGAGAGTATCCTTCATGGAGATGCTAACTAAGTACTTTTCCATAGGAAAAATTTAGAGATTAAACTGAAGGGGGCCAGCCCCTTCACACCTGTGGGTGTTTCTCGTCAGGTGGGATGAGAGACTGAGAAAAGAAATAAGACACAGAGACAAAGTACAGACAAAGAACAATGGGCCCAGGGGACCGGCGCTCAGCATACTGAGGACCTGTGCCGGCGCTGGTCTCTGAGTTCCCTCCGTATTTATTGATCACTATCTCTACCATCTCGGGGAGGGGAATGTGGCAGGACTATAGGGCAATGGTGGGGAGAGGGTCAGCAGGAAAACATGTGAGCAAAGATCTCTGTGTCATAAATAAGTTTAAGGAAAGGTGCTGTGCCTTGATGTGCACCTAGGCCAGATTTATGTTTGACTTTACACAAACATCTCGGTGCATTAAAGAGCAGTATTGCCGCCAGCATGTCTCACCTCCAGCCATAAGGCGGTTTTCTCCTATCTCAGTAAATAGAACATATGATCGGGTTTTACACCTAGACATTCCATTCCCAGGGACGAGCAGGAGACAGATGCCTTCCTCTTATCTCAACTGCAAAGAGGCCTTCCTCTTTCACTAATCCTCCTCAGCACAGACCCTTTACGGGTGTTGGGCTGGGGGACAGTCAGGTCTTTCCCTTCCCACGAGGCCATATCTCAGGCTATCACATGGGGAGAAACCTTGGACAATACCCAGGCTTTCTTGGGCAGAGGTCCCTGCGGCCTTCCGCAGTGCATTGCGTCCCTGGGTACTTGAGATTAGAGAATGGCGATGACTTTTACCAAGCATACTGCCTTCAAACACATTTTTAACAAAGCACATCCTGCACAGCCCTAAATCCATTAAGCCTTGAGTCAACACAGCACATGTCTCTGCAAGCACAGAGTTGGGGCTAGGGTTACAGATTAACAGCATCTCAAGGCACAGGAATTTCTCTTAGTACAGAACAAAATGGAGTTTCTTATGTCTACTTCTTTCTACATAGACACAGTAACAGTCTGATCTCTCTTTCTTTTCCCCACATTAAACAATACCAAGAGCAACAATTTTATTAAGAGAAAAATAAGAGGCAGAATAAAATACATTTTTAAGTAATGTATTATGTAATTTACCCATTCACTCCTTCAATAAATGTTTATGGTACCCGTAACATGTACCAGGAACTACACCAACTACCCAGTGCCAAAGGAAACAACAATTGACATGGCCTTTGTCTTCATGACACTTTCTATCTAGAGCAGCAAGATAGACAACTCACTGAACAATTGCAGTACAATGATAAATGCATGATGAAGAAAGACCAACATGCAACAGAAAGCACTCACCCCAGTCCAAGGGTGTCTTTAAAAGTGTTGGATGAACTTTTGCCTAACCTGAAACCTAAAGATTTAACAGAAAAAAGCCAAAGAAAGAAGCAGGAGGGGCAGGGGAAGCATTCCAGGTAGAGGAAATAGAACATGTAAAGGAATGGAACATAGAGAATGTTGTTCTTTGGAAAAACTGCCAAAAGATGTCTGTTCTGGCCAGAGGCTCAACCCCGAAAGATAGGTGGTAGGAGGTGAGGTGAGACAGACAAGCCGCTAAATCATGAAAGGCCTGGTCAACTGTCCTCACGCCTCCTGAACTTGCTCTCTCCTTTCATCAGAAAGTTCTATCACTCAGCCTTTGTCTTTTCTCACTCACCAGAACCAGTGCTCAGCTTCAACCTCAGGCTCTGCTTCCTTTAACACCTGGACACCTACCTTTGGACATGTCCCTCTGCTTGTGTCACCGTCCTCACCTACTCCATTTGTTTCCCTGTTAATACCGAAGAGTAGCATGAGAACCATTGCTAGAGTTGGACTAATTCACCCACTCCAGGGGCTGGCCAACTCCCCATAGCAGCTTATCTGTTGAAGTGCTGTACCCGTAACCACTCCCAGGGGCTTCCTCAGCTTCTCCTGAAATGGTGATCCCACTACATGACAAACCCTTTCTCTCTGTCCTGGCAGAGATACCCATCTCTCTTTGTCCTGCATTGGATATAGTTTTAAAGGATAGACTGGCATAGGGAAAAGAGCTTCCATTTTGAATCAGACAAGGCTGAATTCTAATACCAGCTTTGCCACCCATTGGCTATGTGGGCATGCATGACTGACTTAATCTGAGTCTGGTTTCCTGACTTGCAAAATCAGGGTAATGCTTATTCAGGAGTTAGCATTTTAAATGAGAGAGATAGGCAAAGGGCGTGGCATGTAGTAAGTATTTAATTAATGCTGGTTTGTTTTCTTTCTGTATATGGCAAAGAGTTTCCCTTCTATGCCTCATATTTCTGCCTGGGCGCTCCAGTGTTTCCCCTGGGACTTGGATCCCTAAATTACCCACCATTCATATTTTACTCCTTATTGTGTCTTGCCCTTTAACCACACACACACACACAAGCTTCTCCAGTCTTGAAAATATCTCAGCCTAATGTCCACCTCCTTTTCTCTTTTCTTTCTTTCTCTCTCTACATCTAACTCTCTTTCCCTCCTCTCCTACTTTTCTGTCTCTCTTCTTTCTGGTTGTGTCTGTCTCTCTCTCTCTCCCTTTTCTCTCCTAATTTTCTCTCTCTTTCTCTCTCTCTCTCTCTCTCTTTCTCTGCCCTCCTCCTCTGTCACATTTCCAGCTTTTCAAATGAATTTTCTATACTCACTGCTCCTATTACCTTACCACCCTCTCGCCTTTTCATTGCCTCCTATCAAGTGTTTACTCCTTTTCCTGTTCTGAAATCTCTCTTTGGGAACTCCTTTTCCTGTTCTGAAACCTCACTGCCAAAAAAGGATGGCTTTTTCTCTTGGTATCATACACACACAACACACACACACATTACAAGATATGCCTTGACATGAAGACAAATCACTGAGAACAAAATCCTCTGTTTGGTTTAATATCTCACTAAGTGGTTGTTGTCTACTCTGAGTATATACATGTGTTTCATGTCCAGTTTCATGAACTGATTCGGAGATCAGAGATCTTGGGTTGCCTATAAGAAAAATGGTCCAACCCTTGATAGGAGGACTGATAGAAAATTCTACAAATCAGTAATAATTATAGAGCCTGAATCAAAGCAAATGCAAACCAAACAAAAACGCAAAGTGAAATAAAATTTGCCTTGGACACATGATTTAAGAAAGAGAATAAAATAGGCGATCGATTTAAAAGTTGAAATTGAAAAACAGAGGTTTTTGACAAAGAAAGTTCAAGTTAGAAATGTCAGATTTTCAGCATTATATTTTAAATTTATTTTTATGTAAAAATAATTCAAGTTGAGTTATTTGTTTTGAAAACTTGACTCCTGTCTTCACACTCTATCTGGGAAACAGATGTAAAAATAGCTCACTGCTACTTGAATAGAAGTGGCTATGGACTTTATGGGGATGGAGGTCCCTTATGTCCTCTATGTTTGAGGACTTGGCTCCACTGGTGATATCTCACCTTTCTAGAAGTTTATCTTAGCCACTTGATCTAATCACCTTCATCCCTCACTTGATGTCTGAGGAAACATCAATCTGAACCCATAGCAAGCTGCTGGCAGCCCAACATTGATGTTACTCCAGTGAATTTTCTTAAAAGGGAAGGTGGTGCTCATCCAAGGGAGATGAAAGTGATGGAAACACTGAGGGCCATCCAGCGACCTCAGCTGGACTCTAGTAACATATCCTCCTAGTTGTCCGGTTAAGATCAAACCCAGTGTGGCTAAGAGGAAAGTCTGCCAGGTTCAAGTATTAATAAAATAAAATGTATGAATTCACACATGCAGAAGAGAAAAGAATGAAGAGAATTAAACCTTAAATTTGGTAATGATTATATGGCTTAGGGAAAATTTTTATTTTACTCTTTATATTTTTCTGATTTCCAAATGTCCTGCAATGCACTGGTGTTGGTAAGATAATATAAAAAATTATAAAAGACAAAATTTAAAGGCTGTCTCTGATGATATAAAGAGAAGAGACATGAGTCTGTACTAATTGGGGAAAGTACGGATGAGGAAATTTGAAGCTATATCCAAAGTAGTTTTTTCATTGTATCCTTTCTCTCTGTTTCCACATTCACTTACCTCCCTGTTCTGGATCTGTATCACTAGATTATGGTAAACTATCTTGCAATTTATTTCCTCACTTCCAAGCTGCACTCAAGACAGCCTCTCCCACACAGAAACAGCACATCCTGCTGCAAACACCGTCTTTGCCTGTCAACCTCCTCTTTAGTCACTTATAATGACATCCTGTCACATCAGATTTCACTCAGAAGTTGTCTAGTATTCAGTAGCTTTTCTTAACTATTCCTTTGCAATATTTTCTTCTCCATTCCTACTTCTCACTAAAACTTAATGAGGCCTCTGTGTTTCAGTGATTCTCAAAGTGCAGTCTCCAGACCAAAAGTATAAGCATCACTTGGGAACTTGTTAGAAATGCCTAGGCTTGGGTGGGTGACACTCTAGACCTACTCAATCAGAAATTCCATGTTTTAACATCCAGGTATTTCTGGTACACATGAATGTTTGAGAAGCTCTGAGCTAAACCAAACTGCTGGATTTCTTCAAATCTTGTTTGTTCATTTACACCTGGTTGTCTTTATTCATGGTTTGGAAGCCTGTAATGTGTCCACTTGGGTAGGATTAACTACATTTCCCAGAATTTCCTGACCTGTAGGTTTCTGGATAGATTGGGCCATGAGAGCTTGTAGTACAAGATTGGGAGAGCGGAAGTGCTGCAGCAGCCATTTATTTCGTGGCTCACACATGGTGTCATTTACCTGCTGACTCACGTCCTGGGTGTGGAGCAGCAGCTGGCTGTGCTGCTGTTCTACAATACTCTGAACTCTCCTTTACCTTCTCTGACCCCTGGGCCAGGCAGACATTCAGCTCCATAACAAAAGGCACCATCTTTTCCTGTGGATACTCAAGGTCAGAGGCGGTGAGAACCACATGCTGTTTATGGGTCTCAACTTGTCTTTGTTCTCTCTACTTTATACCCATATTCTCTTCCCCACTGAATGTCCCATGGACTCCAATCTCCGCAGGAGATGCAAAGACAACAGCCTTACAGCCCGAGCTGCAAGTGAGGTAGATGTCTCCTCCCATGCACAAAAAGTGAAGGGCAGAGGCATACGGAGTGGTTCCTTTGCCCCCACCACAGGCCTCTGCCCCCATTTATTCCCCAATTTCTCCTCCACATTATTGCATGCTCATGGAAACTCAGCTCAAATCCAAGCTCCAGGAAGCCTTCCAGATGAACCCTATTCCAATTCTGTTCTGTCTTTTCTAATTCTGAAAGGCATGCTGCCCTCCTTTGCATTCTGTCTGGTAATTATTCTCAAGCTGTTTCACATATCTTTGTTTGTCTCCATATCTAGATTATGAGCAACTTTTGGCTATATTATATTCATTACACTTTGTAATGAACAACCTTCTCTTCCCAGGCTTCACATTCTTACTGGACTTTTGCCTTCACTTCCAGTGTTTCATATCAAAGCCGATGACTTTCAAACATCTATCTTCTATACTAATCTATTCCCTGAATTTCAAGCCACAAATCCAATTGCCTGCCATCATCTACATATAGATGTCCCTCAGGAACCTCATTTTTATGAACATCCAAAACTATGCTTGTCAGTAGCCAATCTCAGTGTTCTTGTGTTTCCAACTCAGGAGAACTGCACATGCATCCATCCAGCTGGCCAAATCCAAGCTATGACCTGAGTGTTATCCTGGAGGCCTCACTCTTCTTTTTTCCCTAAACCCAATCCTATTACTAAATCATCTTGATTCTTCCTCCTTGGGTCTATTCACCTTTTTCCTTATATCACATACAATATGCATAGTGACTAAAACCATGGACTGAAGAAAAAGGCTCAGGTAGACTTAAATTCCAGTTTTACTGGTTACTGCTTAGTAAGCCTCAATTTCTTTACCTGTAAAACGGGAAAATAATAGTACCTATCTCAAATGATTGTTGTGTCTATAAATACAGACGATTCTCATGAAGCCATACATAGCCCCTGTCACATGGCAAATAATCAATAAATATTAGCTATTATGATTCTTTCTGCTATTACTCTAAGCCAGATCACTCTCTCTTTCCTCGATTACATAACAGCTTCCTAATTGGTCTCCTTGCTCTGAAACTTCCTCTTCTCTCTGAATTATAAATGTAGAATCTAATAAAATGTCATAAGCATTCTCTGAAATACCATTAATTGTTCCTCCAAATACCACATATATTTTAGAATGGTATTTTAAGTATATGAATGTTTTAGATGGGATAAACCTGATTAACAATTTCAAGAACTAGTGAATTTAACATGAGGCCAAAATTCTACCTTTTGGAATTTGAAGTTTGAGAGGCACCAATTCACACAGACTTTCAGGAATAACCTTGAGGATCCTCGTAATTCCATAAGGTATGTAAGCAGTACTGCTACTAAGTTATAAAACAGGTCCATTTTCCTGAGGCAGCCTATGGATGTCTGTGACTTTTCTACTTTTCTCTATCACCCAGACTGGAATGTCCTAGGATTGCATCAAGGAGATTCACCATATTCTTGTGAAGAGATATGCCTTCCCATAGCAATAAATGACTGTGACTGAGACAGACAAACTTAACAGCTGCACAGCAGATGGCTCTCCGTTGTGTTTTAGGTGACTGCTTGTATCGAATATTATAAAATTGGATGAAATTCTGCCAATTTCCTCTCACAATTATAGAAGTGTGGAGTGAGGAAGTAAAAAGATTTAGTATTCATTAGAGTGAACAACCTTAATAAAATCTTCACTTTCCATTAAAAAAAAAAAAGCTACATGTTTTCTTATAGCACCAGAACACTTTATTTGTACCTCTAATGAGGTCTGCCCTGAATTAAAATGATTTATATATGTTGCTTACCTTCCCCACTAGACTGTGAGAAACTTGAAGACAATTGTATGTCGGATCCATCTTTGGTATTCCAGCACCTAGCAAACTTTTTTGCCTACAGTGTGTGCTCAGTGAATACTGAATTAATGAACAACCAGATGAATAAATATGCCATTAAAATTTTCATAATTAAATCATACTTTATAATGAAGTGGAGCAAGTCACTATTTAAAGGTACTCTGTGGAAAATTGTTATATGTAATGCCAAATCTCCTCATTGTTTATCATGTATTTCATATATTAAGTTTACTTAATATAATACAATAAAAAATGCACAGCTTGAGCATCTGTTACCTTTCATTGATTGCTGAGGTACTGAAATACAAAGAAGAATGAGACATGGTCCCTCTGGTAAATTTTATTTTCTGCTCTTTCATTTTTTTGATTTTTGTGACAGAATCTTGGTCTGTCACCCAGGCTGGAATGCAGTGGTATGATCATGGTTCACTGCAGCTTCCAACCCCTGGGCTCAAGCAATCCTTCTGCCTCAGTCTCCTGAGCAGCTAGGACTACAAGTGCACACCATCAAGCCTGTCTCTTCTTTTTCTTTCTGTAGAGATGAGGTCTTGTCATGTTGCCCAGGCTGGTCTTGAACTCTTGGTCTCAAGCAGTCCTCCCACCTTGCCCTCCCAAAGTGCTGGGCTTACAGGTATGAGCCACTGCACCCGGCCTGCCTTTTATAACATGGTTTATTGACACTCTTTCCATGGAGTGGCAGTGTCAATGTGCCCACCCCCCACACACGTGCACATATGAGCAAGAGTTTGCGGCTACTCTATAAAACATGCTATGTGACTTCTGAGGCTAAATTACATAAGGAATTCAGCTTCTGTCTGGCTCTCTCAATCAGGACATTCCCGCACTTGGAAGCCAGCTGCCATGCTGTGAGAAAGCCTGTTCACATGGACAGTGGAGAGGCCACATTAGAGAGGTCCATATGAAGAGGAGCTGAAGCTCTCTTCATGGATATGGATATCCATGAATGGATAGATGCAACCACCAGATAGCTAAGTGAATAAGCCTTTATATCAGGGCTTCTCTACCTTGGCCTGATTGACATTCTGGGAGGGACAATTCTTTGGGTGGGGGAGAGGGTGTGTGGTGATGGAGTGGGGTGGTCACTGTGCATTATAAGATGTTTAGCAGTATCCCTGGCCTTTACTTACCAGATGTCAGTAGCACCCTTCCCCCAAATTGTGACAACCAAAAGTTATTCCAGACATTGCCAAATATTCCCTGGAGATGAGACAAAAATCATACCCACTTGAGATCCACTCTAGCTTTAGATGATTCCAGCACAAATCCTTGAGCTACCACAGCGAAGCTGGAGTGGGCAATAAGCAAGCTATCCCTACTAAGCCCTACTCAAGCTGAAGAATTTCAAGCTGAATAGATATCGTTGTTTTTATAAGTCATTAAGATGGTTTGTTGCAAAACATTACATAATAAGATGTGTTCCTGACTTCAAGAGATGGTTTTTCCCTTTCATGGTAGAAAGGAACCGTATAACCAAATAATCACCATTCTACATCAGACCCTTATAAAATCTACCATGAAGTTTTACTTGTGAGGTACACCTTGAATATATGTATGTGTGTAAAATTATGTATACATACATAGAGGGACAGCACTCTGATACTGTGCTTCCTGATATTGTACATACATAGAGGGACAGCACTCTGATATTGAAGCCCGGGTCTGTGGTCATACTGAGCCATTAGAGTGTCTACGTTAACCTAATTTTAGTATATGTAATTATATTGTCTTCCTAATTTGCTCATGCACTTTCAACTGGAAGTGGTCAACACCGGATTCTTAAATAACTCCACATCATTAAGGTCGCCTACAGTAACACATAGCTTGTTTTCCTGTAAGCTACATTAGATGACTCAGTCCCCCAGTATTTGGAACAATTGTGAGATAATGTTCTGAATAGAGCTGTGGCAGGGTCATGTTTGGTCTGCTTGGCACTTATAATTTATCTTCATATATCAAGGAAAAAGTCTAGATACAAAAATGTGGATATGCAGTAGCTCACATAGAATATATATGCTAAATTCTGAAATTTAGATTTTTTTAAGAATTTAAAATTATGATAAGACATGCTGTGTACCTAGAATTTATTTTATTACATAATTACAATGAATAATTAAATCTCATCAAGGACGGAAGGCTACATCTCATTTATAATAATGGATATGACAATTATGCATACTCTTGGGCCCGCGCAGTATATGCTGTGCAGTTAATTCTAACAGCAGTCCATCAACTGCAGCTCAAAGAGGTTAAATGGCTTGTCCACAGAGCTGGTGTGATTTTAAGCCTTATCTCTCTGACTCCTAAACTTGTCTTTCCACAGCACCTGCTCCCTTTATCTTTGTATGCTCACTATTCAACACAGTACACAGTATATAAGCATATAGCCAAATGAGTTTATAGTTATTGATTACAAATAGCTTTGAATCACGAAATCACAACTGTTAATCACAAATGAACAGCTCTGGATGGAAAGGAAACAATATGGTTCATTAGGTTGATCACTATGATGGTCAATCCATGTTTGCTGATTGCCACACAATAGATGAGTTACCAAATAAGCAATTATTCTAGGTGCTAAGCCAACTGAACTAGCTTAAGTCTGTGCTGTATGACTGATTGCCTAGCAATCAGCGATTGAATGACAAAACCCATCTCCTATGTAGATGCAGCCTTGAAATGGCCTGCTGTACCAAGTCATTATTTTCCTTTTTATGAAGGCAATGTTGTTTCAGGAAGGGGAAATAGAAGTCAGCATAAGCTCTTTCTCATAAGGAAAGTGATAAACTAGTTGAGAGAGGCAGGCTGAATCTGATGAATCTATGCGTAGAATATGCTGATGTATAAGGCTGATTTAAAAACAATCCCACTTGAATAGTGGATTGTTATTAACACAGGATGATACCCACAAAAGGTAAATGAATGACTGAATAACTGATATATAAATACATAATGAAAATGGCACCCTAAACTAGTCATAGGCATTGTCAACTGACGTCCAATAATATAATTGCCAAATGAACTTGTCAGGAAAATATGTACACATAGGTCAATTGCAAACAATAACTATTAGTATTTCAAACTGGTTAATGATAACTGGTTGTTTAAATTAAACTTTCTTTTTCCTCTGAACTGCTTTCTGCTTCACTTAAATTGTTATAAACTTTAGTTTCAGACTTAAGAACCATAGTATGGATGGATGGATGACAGAGAGAGAGAAATGCTAACCTGAAGAAGTGCCTGTACAGATGCCCTCTCAATTTTTCATACTCTTAGGCCCTTCCTGGTATTTTATGGCCCTGATTACATAGTTTGGAGCTACACAAACCAGAATCTTTTCACCCTAGCAGGAAGCAGTAGCTAGACCTCTTCTCTCTTCCTGAATAGAAAAAGGTGAAGAAAAGAGACAGGCTCAATAGTTCTCAACAGTAGGTGAAATAGCCCTCTTGGGGCTGTTTGGAAATATATGAGGGCCTTGGAGTTGCTACAATGGTAGGAAACACCAATGGCATTGAAAGAATGGTCGCCAGGGAAGGAAAACATTCCTGCAACATACGTCACAGTTTTCCAAAAGGAAGAATTTTCCTGCACAAAATGACAATAGCATTGAGAAATGTTAGCCAATTCCCTTTCAGAACATCACAAGCACTTGCTTAATATCATCAAGGAAAACTAAACTTCAGCCATTATTTCAAAGAATATGCCAAAATTTGGCTGAAAAACATTCTCTAATTGGAAGCAAAGAAGATTCTTTATGGCAAAAAAAAAAAAAAAAAGAAATGAAAAGTCCTTACTGTTATTCCAACAGTAACCTCTAAACTCTTCTCAACATTAGGAACAGCACCTCTGAGTCTCTGCAGGCTTCAGAAATTTCAAAAGAAACAAACACTAAGATTCTGTTTTATCCAAGAACCATCCCCTGCTCAGACAATAAACTTGGTTGAGCACACAGTAGATTAACAAAGCAATCCAGGTAAGTTGCAGGGTGCAAAGCTCACTTGAAGCTGCTGTAAAATGTCCCCTTCCTCCTACCTTCAGTCTTGGGGGAGACTGTGGTTCTTGCACATTTCTGGAAAACAATGAATGCTGTTCACTATGCAGGTGGGCTGAGGATTTTAGCAGATGGCAACAGGATGGCTATAAAAGAGAAAAGGGCTTTTGCAGATGGTATAGTTACTCCTTTCTGTTTTGTTTTTTTTTTTCTTTTGGGAGGGGAAAGTGAAGGAAATAGTTGCAAGACAATGCAATAATGCTGCAAATGTCCAAAATATTTATTCTCATACATTTTCTGAAATCACCACATTATTACCTTTCATCAACATATTGCAGAGGAGAAATAAAGCAGGAAGTGGAGAGAGGACAGGAAGAAAAATCCTTCAACATCTACAACTTTAAATTCCCCACCCTCTAGAGTTACCCGTTGTGGAATTGAAGCTTGTTAATGTAATACATTTCCCCATATTTTTCTTCTCCAAGTGAAATAAGCTAATTACTCTAACTTTTTCTCATAGGCCATTTTTTTTTCCAGCACTGTGCAATTATTTTTGGTGCTTGACTTCCAGCTATATACATTCTGCTCATCCTGTGATTCTGAGATACTACAAGTTGGTCACAACATTCTGAAAATGGCTTGCTAGGTAGCAGCTGCCTTCACTAGTGATCTCCTGTTAGATGACAACACCACATCTCTTGGCAGTCTTATCCAAAAAAAGGAGGTAGTTAATAAAAACACTCTGATGTAGGTAGCTTCTGACACAGCATAGGCACAGGTTTTTCACCATAATGAGCAGCCACGATCATTAATTGAGCCACAGATCTGTGAGTCTTCCAATCCTATTTCTTCAGCTCTTACTGACATTGAAAAGATGGCAAGTGGCAAGTTCTCTGCAAAGTATTGTCTCCCACAGGTCTGATCCTGGGAAGTCAATCCTCAATGATTGATATCTGCTGCTTTTTCCTATGCTGGCTTTGGGTGAGTGTCCTCAGAGCATTTCCTCTGTCTCTGTACTTTGATATTAGAAAGGGTAGTAAATGATACAGGCCTATGAGTGAAGTTGATGCCCTTTAATTATTATTCAGATGATTTGCTCACATTTTCATTTGTCTATCACAAATTTAGTAAATATATAAGAACCTACTGTGAGTCAATCTTGGGATGGTTACTAGTTACAAGGCAACTAGATCAAGTTGTGGCCATAAAGGAGCTCAGGTGGAAGAAGATAGATAAGGAAGTCAAGAATTACTACGATAAGTTGGTGAGGTTATAGATATTTTAATTAACTTGATTAAATTTTCCAAATTCTCTACATAGATCAAAACATCACATTATACCTTATAAATATATATAATTACCATTTGTCAGTTAAAAATAAATTTTAGAAAACGTGGTACAATGCAATATAATAAGTACATTATTTAAAAAATGTATAGGGTCTTGTGAGAACACCGTTTCAGCCTGAAGGGTTAGGATCAGAAAAGCTCACAGAGCAGGTAACAAACAGAGTCATGAAGAATAATTAGGAATGATCTCATCAGGGATCCAAAAATAGGAAGAGCAAACCATGGAGAAGATGGAGCCCCTAGAAAACCACAGGAATATAAGAGCACCAGGTAGGTAGGAAATCTGTGGATACAGGTGAAGTGTGACAAGCATAAAGCTGGAGAGAGAGAAAGGCTGAAAGTTAGGACTAAACTAGAAGCTAATTGAAAGCCAGCACAGAAACTACCACCCAAGTCCAATTTACTCAGTGGCCTTAGTTTAGAAAACTTGGATTCAGAATGGGGCACTATGGTGCAATGAAGCTAACTTTACGTTCCCCACAATCTAGCTGTGTGTCTCCCTGCATTATAGTGACACAGTGTGATGATGACTGCTATGTGGTAGACAAGGGCCTTAGTTTTCAATAAAATGTTTCATTTCCTCAATCAACTAGAGAACAAACCCAGGGATTTGGGTGGCTCCTTGTGGAAGACATTTGTTGCTTTGGCCACCCAGCGTCTATTTCCTGTCTTCTCTGGAACTATCACCTTCGACTTTTTTTGGAGAACTACCCTACACTCACTTTGAGTGCATGTGTGGTTCCATTCCTACTTCCAGAGGTGAAGCCTGTTACTCAGTTTAGTACATCAGCACATCACAGGGACTGGTCAGTGACTGGTTCTGAGACAGGCACATGGCCCAAGCTGGTCCAATCAGGATGAATCCTAGGGCTTATTCAGGAGCTGCCAGGAAGATTTGTTCTCTCAGGTCCACTGGACCCAAACACGGCAACATTGAAGGGTCAGAGTTACTGCCAGATACCTACCTACTTTGGGAAACTTGAAAATAAAGTCAACACAATAGAAAGACAAGCCAGGACCAGGTGTAATGGCTCACACCCTGTAATCCCAGCACTTTGGGAGGCCGAGATGGGCAAAACACTTGAGGTCAGGAGTTTGATACCAGCCTGGCCAACACAGTGAAACCCTGTCTCTACTAAAAATATAAAAATTAGCCGGGTGTGGTGGTGGATGCCTGTATTCCCAGCTACTTGGGAGACTGAGGCAGAAGAATCACTTGAATCCAGGAGGCAGAGGTTGCAGTGAGCCAAGATGGTGCCACTGCACTCCAGCCTGGGTGACAGAGCAAGACTCTATCTCAAAAAAAAAAAAAAAAAGCCAGGGATAAAGAAAAATGAAGCATCCTGGATTCCTGGATGAAGCCACAACTGAATCCCAGATTACCCTAGAAATGTATGTCAAGAAAATTCCCATTTTATTAAAGCAGCTTTGAGTTATATTTTCTGTTATTTGACACTAAAAAAATCTTTACTGATATAATGCTAAAATTCTTTTACAAAAATTGCCTCTTTAAAAACGTAGTGTCTTAAGGGATAGAATATACTAAATATTGAACAGGTGAAGTCTAATGGATCAGAATCCATAAAGCCTGCATTTTGGGTTAGATTTGTCAATTACTATAGTTTTGGGCAAAGTACTTCATCTTTTTTACCTCAACTTTTCTACATATAAAATACAGAATACAGATAATAATTCTAACCTCCTTTCTATATCACAGCCTTGCTTGAGATGAAAGTGAAATAAAATTATTTTTAAAAAGTCACCAAATCCAAAGTGCTAAATGAATGAAATGGCTACTAAAGTATTAACATTTTTTTTTTTTTTAGTCAGTGCTCAAAGACGTTGATTTTGCATTAGGAATCAGTTCTATTGTTCCCAGTAGTCTAAAACCGGTCTAAAGATGTTGATATCTAACCAGGACATGCTAAAAA